>NC_000002.12:31034127-31186877 GCF_000001405.40 Homo sapiens
TGTGACTTCTCAGACCAAAGGTCCAAATAGCCATCAAATCCTGTGACATCTCTCTTCCTTCTTAATCTCCCTTGCACCAACCCTGACCCTCTACGCCACTATTCCACTCTAGGGTTGTGTCCCTAGCTGCCTGGATTATTACATGGCCTCTTGCTTCACCTTACTAATTTTATTCTTTAGCTACTTATAGTGCATCTGGAACACTGCCACCAAAATAATCCTTTATAATACTTATTTTATTTTGTTTCTCTTTCAGGAGAAAGTTTCAATGTCTCCTTCCAGCTCACACTTCAAAATAGAATGCAGCCTAGCACCACAGCCCTTCACAAAACAGCCTCACTCACTGTCCTTTGCAGCTTTACCTGACTAGACCCTCTGGTTCCTAGTGGCTATTCCAGTCACTGACTTTTGATCTTTTTCTAGTTGTTTTGTTTTTTTTTGATTATCTGTTTGATTTCTGTCTGCTCTAATCTTTATTAATTTTCTTCCTTCAGTTGTTTTAGATTTAGTTTAGTTTGCTCTTCTTTTTCTAATTTCTTAAGGTAGAAATTTAGGTTATTGATTTCAGATCTTTCTTCTTTTTAAAGCAAGGCATGTATAGCCTTAAGTTTCCCTTTAAGCAGTGCTTTACTTTAGCTGCATCTCATAAATTTGTATATGTTGTGTTTTTGTTTTTGTTTGTCTCAGACTGTTTTCTAATTTCTCCTGTGATTTCTTCTTTAACCTATTAGTTATTTAGGAGTGTGTCACTTACTTTCCACATATTTGTGAATTTCCCAAATATCCTTTCATCATTGATTTCCAAGTTCACTCCATTGTGGTTGGAAAATCTACTTTGTATGATTTCAATCCTTTTAAACGTATTCAGGTTGTGTTACGGTCTAACATATGGCCTATCCTAGAGAATGTTCCACGTACACTTTAGAAGATATAGTCTGCTCTTACTGGGTGGACTGTTCTATAAGTATCTATTAGGCCAAGTTAGTTTGCGGTGTTGTTCAAGTAGTTTGTAGTATTACTATTTCCTTGTTCTTCTGTCTAGCCATTCTACCTATTATCAAAAGTGAGGTATTGAAGTTTCTACCTATAATTATTGAATGGTCTATTTTTTCCTTAAATTCAATTTTTGCTTCAGTATTTTGGGCTCTGCCATTAGATGCATATATGTTCACATTTGTTATGTCTTCTTGATAGATTGACCCTTTTATAATTATAAAATGTTCTTGTTTCTAGTAAAAATTTTGTCTTAAAGTCTATTCTGTGCAATATTCATATGGTTCTCTTTTGTTTACTGTGTGGATGTTACATCTTCAACATTTATCCATTTATCCCAAGCTATTTGTGTTTTTGAATCTCAAGTGTGTCTCCCAATAGCAAAGACATGGAATCAATCAATTCCCATCAATGGTAGACTGGATAAAGAAAATGTGTGTGTGTGTGTATGTGTGTGTGTGTGTGTATACATATACATATACACACACACACACACCTACACACACACACACACACACACACACACACACACACACACTATGGAATACTATGCAACCATAAAAAAGAATCAGATCATGTCCTTTGCAGGAACATGGGTGGAGCCAGAGGCCATTATCCTTAGCAAACTAACACAGGAACAGAAAACCAAATACTTTATGTTCTCTCTTATAAGCGGGAGCTAAATGATGAGAACACATGGACAGCTAGAGGGTAACAATAGACACTGGGGACTACTGTAGGGTGGATGGTGGGAGGGGGGACAGGATAAGGAAAAATAACTAATGGGTACTAGGCTTAATACCTGAGTGACAAAATAATGTGTTCAATAAACTCCTATGACACAACTTTACCTACATAACAAATCTGCACATGTAACCCTGAACTTAGAAGTTAAATTAAAAAACATAATAAAGTGTGTGTCTTATAGAGAGCAAATAGTTAGATCTTATTTTTCAATCCATTTTGCCACGCTCTGTTTTTTGATTGAAGTGTTTATTCCATTTATATTCAATGTAATTAGTAATAAGGTAGGATTTATCTCTGTCATTTTGCTTTAGGTTTCTGTATGCCTTATGTCTTTGTTCCTCTATTTCTCCATTACTGCCTTCTTTTATGTTAAATGGATATCTTCTAGCATACCATTTTTGTTCCCTTGTTGCTATTTTTTTTACTTATTTTCTTAGTAGTTCCCTGGAGATTACAATTAACACCTTAATTTAAAACAGTATAGTTTGAATTAATGCCAACTTAATGTCAACAGTATACAAAAACTTTCCTCATACCTCTTTTCCCTCCTCCCCACTTTGTGTAGAGAACTGTCATACAAATTATGTCTTCATGCATTATAAGCCTATCAACACAGTTTTATAATTATTGCTTTATGTGGCTGTCTTTTAAGTTAGATAGGAAAAGCGTTACAGACAAAAATACATTTAATTACCTTTTTTGTTTACTTCTGTAGTTACCTTTACTACTGTTCTTATTTCTTCATGTGGATTTGAGTTACTGCCTACTGTTCTTTCACTGCAACCTGAAAATCTCTCTTTAGTAGTTCTTGTGGGGCAGTTCTAAAACAATTTCTCTCAGTTTTTGTTTATTTGAGAATGTTTTAATTTCTCCTTCATTTCTGAGGAATAGTCTCTACTGAATATGAAATTCTTGGTTGACAGTCTTTTTCTTTCAGCATTTTTAATGTAAATAACACTGCTTTCTGGCCTCCAAGGTTTCCAATGAGAAGTCAGCTGTTAATCTTACTGAGAATCCCTTACAAATCTCTTTTCTCTTCCTGCTTTCAAGATTCTGTCTTCATCTTTGACATTTTTACTATGACGTGTCTAGGTGAAAATTTCCCTGAGTTTATCCTGTCTGGAGTCTGTTGAACTTCTTCTATATGTAGATAAATGTTTTTCATAAATTTGAGGAGTGTTTGGCTATTATTTCTTCAAGCATGTTCTCCCTCCCCTTTCCTTCTGGCATGCTTATTATGCATATGTTGGCATGCTTTATGGTGTTCCATAGGTCTCTGATGTTTTGTCCATTTATATTCATTCTTTTTTCATCCTGTTCCTCAGACTGGATAATCTCAGTTAACCTATTTGCAAGTTTATTGACTCTTTCTTCTGTCAATTTAAATCTGCTGTTGAGTCCCTCTAGTGAACTTTTCATTTCAGTTATTATACTTTTCAACTCCAGAATGTCTATTTAGTTCCTTTAAATCAATAATTTTACCTACTTACTGGTATTCTTTAATTAATCAGACAATGTTCTCATACTCACTTTTGGTTTTCTAGACACTACTTCCTTTAGTTATTTGAACATATTTTAAGCAGCAGATTTTAAAGTCTGTGTTTAGTAAGTTGAAAGTGTAAGCTTCCATATGGACAGTTTCTATTGACTGCTTTGTTCCCCTCTTTGTAGAAGTCATGCTTTCCCATACTTTTGCATATCTCTTAATCTTTGCTGTTGTTTAAAATTAAACATTTCAATTCATATAATGTGGAAACTATGGAAATCTTTCCCCAGGGTGTGTTTTTGCTAATATTTGTGGTTGCTGCTGATGCTACTCCTGCTTGTGGTTTAGTGACTCTCCTGAACTAATCAGTGTAGTCACTGAAGCCTTGATTGAACAGGGATTTCCTTAAATGTTTTGAATCAATACGTCTCCCAGACTTCGCTGAGAGGCTCTGTGTGTGTGTTGGAGCACACTTTCTACACTAGCTGTTTATAACTCTGCCTCATTCTTCACTTCCTATTTGCATAGCCTCAAAATCAGCCAAAGGTGAAAGATTAGATCCTTCTTAGGGCTTTCCTGAGTATGTGCACAGTCCTACTTGTGTGCATGGCATTCTAAATTCTTAGAAATTTTTCAAAGCTTTTAAAAGCCCCTGTGGCATCTCATTCTCCAGGTTTTTCTTTTAATTATTTTGGTTAGTCCCTTATTTGCCATATATATATATATATATATTTTTTTTTTTTTTTTTTTTTTTTTTTTTAGATGGAGTCTTGCTCTGTCACCCAGGCTGGAGTGCAGTGGCACGATCTCAGCTTACTGCAACCCCCGCCTCCCAGGTTCAAGTGATTCTCCTGCCTCAGCCTCCCAAGGAGCTGAGATTACAGGCACATGCACCACGCCCAGCTAATTTTTGTATTTTTAGTAGAGACAGGGTTTCGCAATGTTGGCCAGGCTGGTCTCAAATGCCTGACCTCCAGTAATCCACCTGCCTCAGCCTCCCAAACTGCTAGGCTTACAGGTGTGAGCCACCGCACCCAGCATTACCATTGATATTTTTGACAAATGCCATAGAGATATGACTGTATGAACTCGGTAAGCCTGGAGCCTGGTTAAATAAAGAGAAGCCCTAAGAATGGTGCATCTCCAGGGAGTTGCCAGACAGGCCATATAGTAATAACTCTCTGGAGATGGAGTTTGGCGTTGGCCGGGGGAGGGGGAGGGTAGGTGTTCCAACTCCATTCTGCCCCCTCTAGTGGCTGCTAGGCTGCTGATTTTCACAGCTATTGTTGTGAGGCTGTTGGTTTTTAAGACTACTGCAGAGCTGAGGAGAGGTGAATGGGAATAGGGCAAGTTAAAATCCCACGAAGCTCTTTATTCTTAGTGAGATTCAGCAATTTTTTTTTTTTTTTTGAGACAGAGTCTCACTGTGTCGCCCAGGCTGGAGTGCAGTGGGGCAATCTCGGCTCACAGCAACCTCTGCCTACTGGGTTCAAGAGATTCTCATGCCTCGGCCTCCCAAGTGACTGGGACTACAGATGTGTGCCACTATGCCCCGCTAATTTTTTGTATTTTTGTAGAGATGGGGTTTCGCCATGTTGGCCAGGCTAGTCTTGAACTCCTAGCCTCAAGCAATCCACCCACCTCAGCCTTCCAGTGCTGGGATTGCAGGCGTGAGCCACCGTGCCCAGCCAATTCAGCCATCTTTCTTAAACAAATGCTCCCCGGATTGTTTCAAGTCTTTGGTTAATTTCTAGAGTTAAAAAAAATGATTTTGACAATTTTTGCCAGTGTTCTTGTTGCTTTTATGGAGATGTGGTTTTTTTGGAGGTACCTACTCTGCCATTCTGGAAGTGTTACAATCACTGACTTTTGAATACATTTTGTTCTTTGCCAAGATTCCTTTCATGCTGTTTTCCTGCCTGGAATGTTTAATTTTTACAACTACAACCAGTAACAACAATGATAATGAGCAGCATTTCCTTAGCACTTCTCAGTTTGCAGAGAACCTTTTTAGTGCACAGAAAAACCATTGAGGTAGATAATACTATCCTAATTTTACAGATGAGGAAACTAAATGACTTGTCCAAGTTCTCACAGTCAGTAAAGACTCACTCTAAGACTTGAATCGGGCCGGCTTACCAATCTCACACATATTCGTCTATTTCCCACAATCTCATATTTTCCATCCAGTGGCCAATCAGTTCTCACTGTCCTTACTGAGGGTCCAATATGCTCTTCCTCATATGTTCCCTCAACCACTGATAGAACCTCAGGCCTATTTGCCTAGTCCTGTCATTTATGAAGGGAGAAGAATCCATATTAGAAGATCTCTTTTTTTTTCTTTAGTTCTACATTATTCATAAACATAGGAGGGTAACTTAAAAGAACGTGCAGGCCCGCAGGCACACTTACCCTCCTAAGGTGTTATTAGGAGACACAAGCCATAAGAAGCAGAGATGTTCATGCAATAGTCTAAGGATTTTGTAGAAGACTTTATGCTTCTAATCTACTTCATAAACTTCACATGAGAAATGTATTCAGAGCCAAGTAATAAGAAAACCATGCTTATTTTGAGAAATGGATTGTTTCTCCCTTTCTAATAAGAGAGTCATGAAACCACATCTCCCTTTTCACTTTGGCTACCAGGAAACTTAGAGACAAATATAAAGCTTAACTATAACAAATATAGTTAATGGAATTTTGGGTTCTTTTCCAAACCCAAAACTATCCACACTTTTTCTTGGAACAAACTGTTTATTTCTATTGTATACTGTCACAAATTTATGACAAATGTACTCAGTATAAATCACCTTATTGAGATACATGACAGAAAAATAATGTAGATAGTAAGAGTAATGTTTTGGGGTTTTTTTGTTCTTGGGTTTTTTGTTTTACATTACTGAAAGAGGCTAAAAGGAACAAGAGGTATTTTCCTTCCCTTGTCTGGAGAACTGTATATGTCCTAGCCTCAGAGGTTATTATCAACTTGTCTGGCTAAAGGCAGAAGCTGCTGGATGCTAAAAGACAGCCTCATCCAGCCTTGAAGTGGGAGGAAACCAACTCAAGGAGGGAGTAGGTCTTGAGAAGGGTCCCTGAGGCTGAGAAGGGCCTGGTTTCTGGAGGTACTGTGAGTGGTGGAGGCTGGGGCTCTTCTCACAGTGCTCTGGAACTCTGAGGGATCTCAGAAGGGACTAGATGCTCCCAGCCTGAGTTCTCAAGCTCTCTTAACATGGAAACAGAGGAAACACTGGCTTGCAGACCACATGGGCTAGGAGATGACAAGTGTGATCCTCAACCCAAGGAGCTCTTCCTCAACTCTTCAGAACTGATAAGAATCCCTGAGGCTTTTGTACAATCCTAGGTGAATGGGAGGACTCTCAAAAGACAGGCTGAATTTCCTGCCAGCCCTGCAGGTGGAAGCTTGGCACTGACTAATTTGATTTAGAGAAATAAAGAAATGTGACATTTCTTGCACCCTACGGTTGTGGCCTGAAATTCATGCCCACCACATGGGCTATAAATAAATGAATGAAAGAATAAACAAACCCGACGCCAGAATGCCTGGGATGAATTCCCAATCTGCTGTGTATGCAACATCAGGGTCCTGTAAACTTGAACACACAAGGGCTAATGGAGAATTCAGCTAGCACAATAGACACCATCTGTGGGGACTGTATGGGAAGGGATGGAGGTAAGAAAGCCAAAGAGACAGCTCCAGACCTCACAAAGCTTACAATTCAGTGCAGCACGTGTCAATAATAAAACATCAATAAGAACAGGGACCTTCATACAGCCATTGGCACATTTTTATGAAGCACTCACTGCAGATGCTAGAAGGCAAAAAGATAAAGGAGAGGATTAAGATAGGACCCAGGGGCAGGAAGAGTACAGGTGGGTGAGGAAGATATGAGAAGGGGAATAATAATATGCCAGAAAAGAGATATGTGTTATAAAAATGATTTGCCTAAAGTACTATAGAAGGAGAGTTTATTTCTGCCTGAAGACAGAGAAGGCTCTAAAGAAGATGAGGTGCTTGGGCTGTTCTTGGAAAGATGGACAGGATTTGAGCAGAATGGGGTGGTCTGAGGGGCACTGCAGGCCAGGGGAGATGAAGATACAGGGTCCTACCTGTCACACTCAGGGCTGCAGGGGTAGAGTAAAAGTTTCATCATGGCTGTCCCTCATGGTACATGAGGATGTACGAATGAGTAGTGATGATGAGGTCAGAGAGGTACATGCATTGGTCGTGGGCAGGGCTTGGGATCCCATGCTACGGCATTCATATTGTGAACTATAGGCAAGATGATGGGAAGAAGGTGAGCAGGGAGGGGAAGGATAAGAACCACGCTCTTGGGGGTTTCCTTGAATTGCTGAATGTGGGAATATGCATTTGAAAAGATGGAAAAGTAGTCACGGGAAAAAAGTTAAGAAGCCCATTGCAATGTCTTGGGCACCTGAACTATAATAGAGGCAGAGGATCTCAGAGCGAATACTGGAGATGTGAGAACATTCACAGATGTGAAGCAGAGCCATGCTGAGGGGACAATGAAGAGGGGAGATATCAAGAGAGAAACTTGATGTTTCAGGCCTGGGTAAAACAGGAAGCACAGGAAGAAGAGGATTTAGGGAAAAATGATGAGCTCAGGATAAAATGTCCTGAACCTAAGGTCCCAGTGGACCACTCTGATGAGATGCTTAGCAGGTATCGTATGCAGAGAGACGTGTTATATAAGTGTGCACTCAGTTTTATACATTCTAACCTGATCTTTCAAAACTGATAAATTAGTGGAGATCCATAGTCATCCAGCAAAAGGATTCTTCACCTGAAAAAAAGCATTAATAACAGGGTACTTTAAATAGTTAGCTCCCCTGGTGAATATAAAATAGGCTTTACTATTTTTTTAAAGGTGACTTACACCTCTCTTTTCAAAAACTCATCTATTGTGTTAAGTAAAGCATATCTATGTATGAATATGGAATGAACTGGGAGACCTGAGCCAGGTAAAGTTAATCGAGGTGGGTGCTATGAAAGAAATGATGAATCATAAAGGGAATACTGACAAGATGACATCTGAATTGGTGAAGAAAAAAGAAGGAGGGCTCAGACATAGTGTGGGGTCTGCAGTCACCCTGGGATGGGAAGCCTCCCATAGTCTCCCAGCTCCTCTTTCATCCCTGGGATGAAACTACACCTGGATGGGTGGTGGGGAATCCAGCTCCACCCACAGCCTGGTCCATCTCCATTGATGGCAACTCCATCCATTCATCTGTTGAGATGAAAACCTTGGGGTAGCCTTCACTCCCTTCCTCTTCCTTACTCTCCACATCCAATCC
Organism: Homo sapiens; assembly: GCF_000001405.40. Taxonomy (NCBI): domain Eukaryota; kingdom Metazoa; phylum Chordata; class Mammalia; order Primates; family Hominidae; genus Homo; species Homo sapiens. The sequence continues at coordinate 31,042,688 of NC_000002.12, forward strand.
ATCAGGAAATCGCACTGGTTCTTGCTTCAAAGCATATCCAGTATCTGACTCTTCTCGCCACCTCCGCTGCTGCTACCACCTTGGTTCCAGCCTCCACCGTCTCAGGCCTGGCTTATTTAATAGCCTCCTAATAAGTCTCCCTCCTTCCTCCTGTGCTCTCCCAAAGTCTATTTGCAATACAACAGTTAGAATGGTCCTTTCTAAAACAAGTCAGATCATGTCATTCCTTTCCTCAAAACCCTTGAATGGCTCCCCATTTCCTTCTGAACCTAAGCCAAAGTCCCTTTTACAGCTTACAAAGCCATGCTGGATATGGCCACGGTCACCTGTCTCACCTCACCTCCTACTTCTCCCCTTTCTCCTCATCCCAGCACACTCCACTTTGGCTATACCTGACCCTTGCTGTTCGTCAGATGCTCCAAGCACTCTTAACTTGGAGCCTCTGCTTTAGTTTTCTCTGCCTGGAACATATGTCTCCCAGATATCTGCAAGACTAAGTCCCTCACCTCCTTAAGTAAGTGCTCAAATCTCACTTTCTCACTCACCCCCCTGTAATGCTGTAGCCTGCTCCTGCCTCAGTATTCCCCCAGTCCATGCTCTTTTTCTTTCTTACTTAGCATTTACCTTTTTCTGATTTACCTTGTTAACTACGCTTATTATTTATTGGCTATCCTCCCTTGCTAAAATAAAAATGAGTGGGGTTTTAAAATTTGTTTTACTTTGTCTTGTCCATAGTAGCTCCTCAATAAATAAGGTAGGAATCAGTTAATGAATGAGTGAAGAAGAAACAGTGTAGACAAACAAGAGGGGAAAATCCACAGCTCAAGGACTCCAGCCAAAAACACTGTGCTTGAAGATGGGAAGCAATGGATCTGGTCCCTGCAGGGGCCATGGTCTGGCTGTGGGGCTCCAGACAAGATATTAAAACTCTCTAGGATCCTCCATATTACAAGGAAGGGATGGATCAGGTGATTTTTTTTTTTAGTGCTTTTCCATAAATTATTTAATTCATTCAACAAGTATATATTGAGGGCCTGTTACCTACTAGGTCCTGTGCATATAAAGATGATTAAGATACCACACCACACTGGTCCTTCCCACAGTCCAGAGAGAACGATCTATAAATAAAGAATGAAAATACAATATGACAGCAGATATCCATACAAGGTACAGTGGAACCATAGATACAACAGTGATGAAATCAGTGGTGGGGTGGACAAGAATAAAGGATGACCAGGGAATGGCCCTGCAGTTACAGCGTGCTCCCTGCATCCCAGGGACCAGCACTGGAAGGCCCCGCCCTCTGTGCTGTTGTCAAGTTTGCAGGCTGCCAACTTCATGTACTGTACTCTGTCAAGGCACAGTGAAGGACTAGCGACATATTTTTAGAAGACCCTTTAATCATCCAAAGATCAACTTTTTCATGTAATTGTTTCTTCATGTTCCCATTAGTAAGCCTTTTAAAGCCACAGGTTGTTATAGAAAGACAGGCCTTTTGTCCTGACACATCAGAGTTCCCAGAAATATTTGGAAGGACACAGCAATAAAATAATACACCACTCATCTCACCCGGGCCATCTCATTGTGTTCACAAACTCAACACACTGCCCTCTTAAAATAAACACACTGGATAGAGCTTTCTTTCCCTGAAAACTGAGGTTCACATTCAAAGCAAGTAATGTTTTCCTCTTGGGATTCTCGATTATTATCATTTACTGACACCACCACCATCTTCACGGGGACATTGATTTATTAAGTGTCCTCTGTGCCTAGGATGTAATTCAGAGCAAGATAAACAGATGTGAAGTCTCTCCACTCTAGGAACTTGTACTTCAATACTCCCTATTAACAGAGCACAAACTACAAAAGATTCTTCTAGAAATTACATACTGGCTACACTTGATCCCAAGTGCTTTTGGATAGACAGAAGTATAGGGTAGCAGCTATACTACGGGTGAGGTGACTCATGCCTATAATCCCAGCGCTTTGGGAGGTCGAGGTGGGTGGTTTGCTTGAGTCTAGGAGTTCAGAACCAGCCTGGGCAACATGGCGAAATTCCATCTCTACAAAAATACAAAAATACAAAAATTAGTGGTGCACACCTGTAGTCCCAACTACTCAGGAGGCTGAGGTGGGATGATCACTTGAGCATGGGAGGTGGAGGTTGCAGCAAGCCAAGACTGCACCACTGCACTCCAGCCTGGGCAACAGAGTAAGACTCCATCTCAACAGAAAAAAAAAAACTATAGGGTAGCAGATCCGTCAGGCATGGGGAATTCAAACCAGCTACGTTCACAGGAAAGCACTGTCTGGGAAAACTTCAGAAAAGACTTCAAGAGGGGAGGTGGAGGCAGAGGTCAGATGTCAGGATCCATGTGTATAAGGGGTACAGAAGAATGACCAGGCTGCTCAGGGAGAGGGTTAGGTATAAGGTGCAGGCAGGGATGAGACTACTGAAGGATATGAGCAGCATCCATGATCTGGGGCGTTCAGGAAGATGAGAAAACTGGCCCAAACCTTGAACTTCAGAGGCCTTGCCATTTCTACATGTCTCAGAATCAAGAGACCAGCTGAGGTTTAACAACTGTGGTGCCAAGCTGAGCTCAGATGTGCCAAATGAGGAAACACTGGTCTCTAACATCCACACACTGAGGTGTCCAGGTACACTCACAGCCCATTAATCAAGGATCAAAGTCTTTTCAACTTCTTTTTTTGGACAAAAGATAAGGATGGACCCAGGAGGAACTTCCATGACCCCTCCCCCATTTTCATATGCTGATTTTATTTTATTTTTTGAGAAATTCTTGCTTTGTCGCCCATGCTGGAGTTCAGTGGCGCAACCTCGGCTCACTGCAACCTCCGCCTCCCGGGTTCAAGCAATTCTCCTGCTTCAGCCTCCCAGGTAGCTAGGATTACAGGCACCCACAACCACGCCTGGCTAATTTTTGCATTTTTTGTAGAGACAGGGTTTCACCATGTTGGCCAGGCTGGTCTCGAACTCCTGACCTCAAGTGATCTGCCCGCCTCAGCCTCCCAAAGTGCTGGGATTACAGGAACAAGCCACCATGCCTGGCCTTGATAAGCCGATTTTAACTGGCCATTTCTCCCTGTTTCCTGAGGTTATCAGGAAGCTTAAAGTAAAATGTAAAATTTTACAACAGGAACCATATGAAACCTCTGTGGTCATCTCTGTCTGCTCTTAAGTTCCTACTCTTTTTCACCTGTATCTCTTATTCTATACTATCATCCTGTTACCACTGCTGCACAGGCCACTCCAATCCTTTGTGGAATAAAGTAGAGAAGAGTAACAACAACAATAATAATATTAAACTTCTATTGAACAAGTTATGAGCAGCCATTGTGCTAATCACTTTTCATGGATTATCACACTCAGTCCTCACAGGATTCCAATGAGGTAGGTGCTGTTACCATCCACATTTTACATATAAAAAAGAAAAAAATGAGAATAGAAGTTTAAATGTGCTGAAGTATCAGATATGGGGTTTGAACCTAAGTTGGCTGACTCTGGAACCCATATTCTTTTTTTTTTTTTTTTTGAGATGGAGTCTCGCTCTGTCGCCCAGGCTGGAGTGCAGCGGCACAATCTCTGCTCACTGCAACCTCCACCTCCTGGGTTCAAGCGATTCTCCTGCCTCAGCCTCCCAAGTAGCTGGGATTACAGGTGCGTGCCACCACGCCCAGCTAATTTTTTTTGTATTTTTAGTAGAGACGGGGTTTCACTATGTTAGCCAGGATGGTCTCGATCTCCTGACGTCATGATCCACCCGCCTCGGCATCCCTAAGTGCTGGGATTACGGGCGTGAGCCACCGCGCGTGGCCTGGAACCCATATTCTTAAAGTACTACACATATATACATCCAGGCCCAAAATACTCTGTAGGGCATTGGTGGGAACATTGCTACATTATGTAGTTGGAAACTTATGAATGTAGTATGGAAACTTATGATAACTACCTGGCTTTTGAACAATAGTTTGCAGTAGAGGTCAATGGCCTACAGACCAAATTTGGCCCATAGATATGAATTATCAGGAACCTACAGTATTTTTTTTAATCAAATCTAATTTCGTTTTCCAGGTCTCCCCAGTGCCCACCATTCTTCACTGCCTGGCTCACTCATTTATATCACTCGTTTCAAGTTCATGGACCTTGCTTTAGAATTTTCAAGATATTCTCACATCTATCAGCTCATTCAGTCTTTGAAATGTTCCTACAAGCGAGGCAACACAGAAATCAAAATCTCCTTTTACAGGTGGAGAAACTAAAGTTCCGGGCAGTTGAACTCCTCATGTGGGCTCAAATGCCAAGAAGTGGCTTGGCTGGAAGTAGAACCTCCTGTGTGGGGTGTAATCTCACAGCATAGATCACCTTCCCCACAGAACCCTGAAGAACACAGGTTGCCTAACAGCAGTGATTAGCAGGGGAGTGCATGCTCCTCTAGGAGAACATAGACCAGGGCTTGACAGCAGGTGGTTGAGAACAGGGGCTCCAGGAAGCCTCACCTGTAGCCCTGCCCCCATTCCCAATCAGACCCAGCAAGCCATGGTGGGAAGGGAAGTAGGAAACCCCTGACATGATATCTGCGAGTGGACTGTTTGCCAGGCTTTTCTGTGGTGTGGCATCATTCCCTGGGGAAGTGGGTTATCCTGCTGGGAGAATCCTAATTCATCCCAAGCCTCAGATGCTCTCACCATCCTCAGGTGGCTCCCTACCTTACAACTTTACCAAAAGACAGGGCATCCCAGGGCCACAGATTCCCATTTGGAGCTACTCTCTGGGCCTGAAGAGCTTCAGAATTGGTCCTTTCTGAGGACCCTGTACTCTGGGAGATGATGGACACTACAAGCAACATTTCTTAGGCCCCAAGGCATTCCCTAGTCTCCCTTCCAGACCCAAAGTCATGAGACTCTGAGCTAGTGACCTTGAGGGGTTCCTTTCTAGAAGAGGAGGTGCACTCGAGCAAGGGTTCTCAAATGTAGCTGCACATTGGGATGGCCCAGGAGAGCATTTTCAAGACATGGATTCCTGAGCCATACCCAGGATGTACTGAATCATAAACTCTGCAAGCAGGTCCTGGAATCTGCATTTTCACTAGCTCTGCAAATGAGTTGTATGCCTAAAGGGACAGGCTGGGATGGAGTCTTCTTCCCAGCCACAACCACAAAGGGAATGACACACACCAGGAGCTGTGGGGTGGGCACCGAAGCTGGCCCACCTTCCTTCAACTCCAGGTTGTTTCAATGCCGGTACCCAGCCTGTCCTCAACAGCATCGGCTCGCAGCCAAGCACCAGTTCCCTGGGACTCCAGCTTAGGGTCCATAAGATTTAAAACATTTTAATCCAAAGCTGCTGAGCAGGTGAGACGCTTCCAAATGCCCAACAGCCAGCTCCTACCACTCTGAGTGAAAAGGGCCAGACCCGAAGGCCATGAAACCATTTGCCCTGAGCCCAGAAGGGGATGTGCAGAGTCAGGGATAACCCCATCACCTGCAAGGACCACCAGGTATATGTTTTTCCCACACCAGGATTGGTGGTATAGGGGTAGGAAGCCCATAGTGGCCTTTTTGCTTACTTTCTGTTAGGAACTGAAGATTTGGGGCCCTGCTGGCTCTGTGGCTTTTGAATAGGGGACACAGAAATGCCTAAATGTGCACCAGCCACTTCTCCCCATGAGGAGCCTGATCAGGTAGTTCAGCAAAAGGAAGACAGGGCTCTACTTCTTTATTAGCAGACAGTCCTAATGGTGGTGGGGTTGCAAGACTCAGCCAAGAAGCCTAAGGCTGGAAAGACCTCTCCCTGGAAGCTAAAGTGCTGAATGGATAGATTCTTGGGAGCAAAAATAAGACAGTGCTGGAGATAACCAGGCCCTGGGACTGCCTCCCCACCCCCACTCCTGCCTCCCCTGCCTCCCCTGCCTCCCCGCAGCAGCAATTTCAGCATCCTCCTATGGAGTTCTGCCATCACGCCTCTGGGCTGAGCTGCCCATCAGAACCACGTCTCACTTCTCTCCCCTGCCCACATGATGTGCCAGGAGCTCTATGTGACCCCCTTGCTCTGTGTTGCTGTCATTGCCCTCTTCATTGTAGGCCAGGTCAACTCCCTATCCCAAACCCCAGAGAAGTGCCCCACGTCCTTGAGATCAGGAACTGAACTTGACTTCCCTACCACTCATCAGGATTCAAGCCAGTGCCCTGTGCCTGACCGGCTCATTCCCACAGGTGCCCGTCACTGGCCAAATGCCCCCTCCAACCTTCAGTTCCACCTCTGTTCCTTTCCCCTTGTCCTGTCCAGCCAGCTTTCCCTTGTGAATGAGAAGGGAGAGAGCATGTTGCCTTCAGAAACCTCCCTTTCTTGCCTTGCAAGTCCCTCGAGGTCCCGTAACGTATATTTCATCTAGCGATTCTCTACAGCCTAACACCTTGACCCACTTGCATGCTTTCTTTGCAGTCCTCATCTGCTCTACTACAGATGTGGCCTCTGTCTGTCTTTTTTGGTGTCATCTGTCTTGGACTCTCCTTCTCAGGGGTGGGCTCTGTGTCTTCAGCTCATTCTATGGTATCCCATGCAAGCTCACACTTACTAAATGCCCAAAGCAGGAATGATTTTTGCTCAAGACTACCCAGAAAGAAGACCCGAGGCTCCTCAGCCATCTCCAAAGTCCAGTCCAGTGTTCAGGGCTCCTGAACGCTCCCAGCCAGAGCTGAGCTGGCTCAGCTGTTCAGCTCCCTGGTCACCAGGGGACACTAGCTACCTCAGAGGAGAAGCAAGTGGCCACTGTGCCTGCTGGGCCGGGACATGGAACCATCCTGGAAGCTCAACTGCTGGCCCTCAGGTCATGGAGAATCCCAAGACTCATCATGTGTGTGGCAGGGGTGAGGGTGGAGGTCAGAGGTTGGGGGAGATGTCAGACTGGGAGATAGAAGCAGCCACAGGGAAAAGCAGGAAGGGCCAAGGTAGGCAGCTCTTCTCAGAGCAGCAGGCCAGCAGCCTGGCTGGAAGGAGGGGACCCAACCACAAACTTGTGGCCTATGAAATCCATTCCCCCTTCACTGGGGATTCTGCTCAGCCCTTCCTCACTGATTCCCTTCTGACTGCACATTAAACTTTACTACAACGCACAGCTTGTAAATGGCATTAAAACAATTTACAGCAGCCTTTATGTGCCTTGGTTTAAATAATAAACATTTTTATTTCACTCTTCTGTGAAATGAAATTCTTGGGGGGCAAAGTATGGAAAAGTATGGGACCAGGAGGTAGGGGTGGGAGGGCCAAATGAACAGAAAATAAATACAATGGGCAGCGATGGGGACGTGTGGGTTCCCAGATTCTCTGACCACAAAGAGCTTGTATACCATGTCCTGGCCACTCGGGGCTTTGGTGGCCAGAGTCCTGCGCCAAGAAAAAGCAGAAGTGAACCACATTTGGGATGTTCTAGCTGTGGGCCAGCATGACTACTCCTTAAGTGGAAATCATTCAAGCTCCCAGGCCTCTCGCTAAACCTGAAGCATCAGCAACAGCCAGCTTGTTACTTTCCTTAACTAATGCCTTTCTGTTTCCTGCAGAGTAAACAACTTGATCCCATTAGTTGTTGTAAAATATTTACCAAGCGGCCGAGGCGGCTCCCTTCTTCCCAGCACGTAAGAAGGTAGAGAGCCCTGGGTTAGGCCTCTGAACACAGATGGACAGGCATGACCAGCAGCTTCCGGTCAGTGTCACGTAGATGGGGGAGGAGTGGAGGGAGGACTAAAAAGGGGCGGAGTGAGAAGGAGCAAGTGCAGACAGACAAAGCCTGCCTCGAAAGGGAAGGAGCACTAAATGCAACGTGGGGGCCTGGATCAGCTCCTGGGACAGAAAGGGGCATCAGGAGGAAAACTAGTAAAATCTGAATAAAGTCTGGAGTTCAGTTAACAGTGAAGCATCTGTGCTGGTGTTTTACTTGTGACCATGTGCTGCAGTAACCTAAGATGACAACGTCAGGGGGAACTGGGTGAGGGGTATATGGAAACTCCCTAGTCTCTTTATAACGTCTCTATAACTCTAAAATTATTATAAAGCAAAAAGTTTTTTGTTTTTTTTTTTTTTTCAAATAGCAAATGTGCTATTTGGAGGTGAGGGATTCTCCATGACAGCTGTTGGCATTTGGGGATAGCAAAATACCCACAGGGGACTTCTCTGTGTGGGACCTCACTGGAGAGACAGCCTGTGAGTCACGGCCAAATTATAACTAAAGTGGAAAGGGCAGGAAACAGAGAGGGGCGTTCTTCCCACAGAGATGAAGTCAAGGAATCAGGCCAAGAGATGCTGCGCCACCTCGGAGAAACCACCTTCAGGGCAAGAAAGTTCGCTGGATGGAGGCAATGAAATGAACAGGGTGGAAAACCTGACTTGCTGCATCGCCCCCAGATTTCTGACTCTGGGCACATGTGGTTACACCCTTCCTTGGCCCTCTCCTCATGCAGGCAACAGTCAGGGACTAACAGGCCCAGCGGATCAAGATGGTGCAGAGGGAAGGCATGACGGTGAATGTTATGCATCCACCGGGCTAGGCTGCAGTGCGCAGTTGCTTGGTGAAGCACCAGTCTAGATGTTGCTGTGAAGGCATTCTTAGTTGTGATTAACATTTGCAATTAGTAGACTTTGAGCCAAGCAGATTACCCTCCATAATATGGGTGGGCCTCACCCAATCAGTTAAAGACTTAAGAGCAAAGTCAGGTTTCCCAAAGAAGGAAAATTGCCTCAAGGCTGCAACACAGAACCCCTGTCTGAGATTCCAGCTTGCCAGGCCTGCCCTACAGATCTCAAGCTCAAGACTACACCAACTCTTACCTGCCCTTCCAGCCTGCTAGCCGGACCTTTGGATTTCAGAGTTGCCAGTCCCCACAATTGCATGAGCTAATGCCTTAAAATCAGTCCAGCTCTCTCTCTCATACTGGCTCTGTTTCTTTGAAGAACCTTGACTAATACCAGGCAAGCCGAGGGCCTGGAGATCATGGGCAGGGATCAGAGGCCCCTTCTCTGCTGCCCTGCTGTGACTGCCTCTGTGGGTTCAGGGACTGGGACACCATTTACTGGGGCTTCCACCGCTTCCTTGCTCAATCACCAAAATAAAGCCTTCACATTGACTGTCTTAGAGGATGTCTTTCCTTGTACTCAAAAGTGACAGCAAATGACAAAGATTTCGGAAATAGCTTGGTGGACATTTCCCCCTCCCCTCCGCCCACCCAACTCTCATTTTCAACTTAAAAACATGTTGCTCAACTTCCTGCCCAGTTGTGTGAGCCCTGGGCTGACAGCATTTCCTCAGTGGTGACCAAAATGTGCCACCTGCCAAGGAGATACCCCACTGAGTGCTGAGCTACCCGATGGCGCTCCACGGGACCATCCTGCTGGAAGAGGCTGATAATCCTGAGGCATCCCTTCACCTGAATGTCCTTGGCAGCAAAGTCAGAAGTAGCACCCAGGACACTGCCCCCTACCCCCTCCCGTGGACTCTAAGCTGACCTAGGGGTCCAGAGATCTAAGCTGCAGCCTCAGCACTCCACATGGCACCAAGTCCTTGTCTCCCTGTACTTCTGTGAGCCTTGGTGTCCCCGCTCTACAAAGCACAGAACCTTCACCTGGCAGAAACATATGTGACCCTTACAGCTGGGTGGATGACAGCAGAGAGGTCACATCCTAGGGGTCACTAGGGCATACCCTAGAGGTCAAACAACAGAGTGAGAAGCTGGGCATTTTCCAGGGCTGATACCACCCGCACTCAGGACACTTTTTCAAAGAGCAGCGGCCTGCTCCCCACGGAAGCCTGGCCTCCTGCGGGACACCAGAGCATCCTTCCTCTGCTCAGCCAAGACACCCCTTCCCACTGCAGCAGCCTGGCACTCTAGCTCCTGCCCTCAGCTCACCACTGACCCAGGAGGGACATATCCTCAGGGAGGTGGGAGAGCAACTCCAGCCTCAATCAGCCTCCACTGCACAGGACAGCACCGGCGGCAGGCGCTTTAGAAATCCAGGGCCTCTTTGGGAGCTTCTTTTGCCTTCAAGTGAGGACTGCCAGATTTAACAAACAAAAATACAGGACACCCAATTAATTTGAATTTCAGATCAACTACAAAACATCTCATGCATTATTTGAGATGTGTAATAAAAATTATTTGTTTTTTCTCTGAAACCGAAATAGAACTGGGTGTCCAATATCTCATCTGGTGTCCCTCCTCCTTCAAAAGGAGGAGAGCCGTGAGGGCTACAGCATCAGTCCTTGCTTGTCACCAGCCTCTGAGTGCCTAGTCCCAGTTCCTCACAGCTGGAGCCACTCACTCAGCCCGGCCTAACCCTAAGCTGCGGCAGAAGGGGTTTAACCAGTTCTGGCCCCACACGAAAGCAGAGCCCCAGGCTCCCAAACAGCTCACTTGCCCCCAAGCCCTAGTCTTGGGTGGCATTTTTTGGACCTATATGCCTGTGCTGGTGTTCCACTGGGCACTTCTTCAAGGCCCGGGACCTGCCTGATAATGCCAGGTTCTTTGCCTGTCCTCATATCCACTGTCTGTACCCCAACATAATAGGTAGAGAACCCTGACTCCGGGGGGCAGTCAGTCACTTCATCTGGTAGATCTGAGACTAAAGACAGTTATAACGCCTGAACCCTGCACTTACAGGTGCCAACTCACCCGCTAGCACCTGCAGCTGGGTGAACACCTCACCCAAGTAAGTGGGACTCTTCTCAAACCCCAGTTTTTCCCCACCCGCCCTGTCATGCCCTCCCGTCCTACACAGCTCCAACCCCGATAGCCATGGTTCAGATCTTAGCTAAGTCTGGTTTTTGATCAAGACCACTCTTCAAAATAAGGCCGACAAAAATGCAACCAGGGACCATGCCACGCCAGAAATCCCACCACTTCCCCTGAGGCATCTGCTCCATTTTTTAGCCTGAATCCCAGGATGGTCCTGCCGCCACTAAAAAGCAGTTGCCTGCTTCCATTACTAGATTCTCCTATTGCTGCTTCCCAGGAGCTCAAAGCCCACAAATACTTAGCTTCTGATTAGACAGGTTTCTTCACCACCTCGGCATCCATGCTTTCTAACGAGAGACATAGCAGGGCATCCATATTTTACTGAGGACTAAATCTTTTCTTCTCATGCTGGTTTTTAGATCATAGCATTTAAGTCTGATCAAGGCTGGTAAGACCCTTCTGGGCTTCTCTTACCAGATCTTACACACCCTTGAGCCCCTGCCATCGTTTGGTAAGAATCCCACAATAGTGTAGTTAGGCAAAACCCAAGGAAAGCAAAAATCCACACAGTTCATTCATTCAGTCATTCACTCAGGCATGCCTCCTCTGTGCCAGGCACTGAATTAGGCTCTGTGGCTATCAGGGAGAGCAAGTCAGCATCCCTGCCTGCAAGGAGATCACACGTTACTTAGGGAGACAGTAAAAGTAAACAGGCCACTTCGAGGAAGTCCAGTGCATGCTTTGATCCCCTGGGATGAGCTGTCTGCTTAATGGCTGTACTGATTTTTTTCAAAAGTAGTTTGCAATAAGACTGAAATCACACTTACATATGTGTGAGCTTACTCTGGCCATTGTGCCAATGCCATCAAAGATGATCTTAGCGTGGCTGACTGCTACCTGTCATTCCAGTCTCATCATAAATGTCCCTTCCTCTGAGACTCTTTCCCCAGCTGCCTGATCTAAAGTGGCCTGTCCCTCCGTCCTCATATCCTGTTTTATTGTTACTATGGCATTTGTCCATGTCTGGGCTTTTCTTGTTTGTTCATCTGTCCTCCACTGAGAGCAGATTCTTGTCCATCATATTCAACCCCAGAACCCAGCATAGCGCCTACCCCATTCAACTTTGCTGCACAAATGAATAAACAAGTGAATGAACAGAAAGAACACTAACCCTGTAGTTCCCAACCTCTAGGGGCCCTTGAATGTCATAACAGGTCACTGCAAGCTATTTTCAATATATTCCAAAGCCTAACAGGCTTCATTTGTTTGCTTATCCTTGATAAAGTCCCACAGGAGAAACAAAATGTCACATTTCTTTGCCTTTGACTGGAATGATATCAACTCAGCATTACCGGTCCCCATGCTAATCAGAAACTGTAATTAGAAAATATATTTTGATTATTAAAAGTGGAAAAACAAAAGCATCATAACATCAGAGCCATTTATTTAGTGGGTAACATCTTTCAACACAGGAAACCACGGAGCAAAATATATAAAGAACTAAAGGGTTCTCATGGGAGAGAAGAGACTGGGAATAGCTTCCTATTTCCTGGGTGGCTAGGCTGAGGCTTGAGGTCATACAGAGGAAACCCGGGCCAGAGTTCAGTGCATTAAACCATCTGAACAAAGGAGGATGTGACTAGGCCATAAAAATATTGCTCATAAAAGAAATCATGCTCTAGAGAAAGAGCAATTTAAACGAAAGCTGGAATTATTATTCGCAGCACAGATACTGTGTATCTGCAGGCTCGCTGCTCTCAAATGGATCATCCATTTAATGCTGGCAATCTTCAGAAGCACTAATGAAGATCTGGAAAGTGTAAACCCATCAGTGGGGCGCCAGCATACTGCTTTTCATTTATCCTAATATTTTAAAGAACATAAATGGCATGGGCACTTATCCCTTTGGAAGTTCTGACCTTTGAATAGCACTTTAAACGCTTCAATTAAAGGCACTATATAAAACCACAGCCTTGTCATTTCACTTGATCAAATGACTGGCCTTGGAATGCAAAACTTCAGGGGAAAAATAGAACAGTCCAGGTCAACTGGGACTCCAGTTACTGGAGGCCAAAGGGGCTGTTATGCTGTTATCTAATCTCTGAGCTCTGGTGTGCCCCTGCTACCGAGTGTCTGTGCCACTGATCCAACTAGGGCACTGGGTCCTGGAAGGAGCCCCCTGTTATAAGGAGAGGGCTTTGAGCAGGCTCACTGAAAGGAGAGAGGATCCCCACTGGCCAGTCCTTGGCAACGGATCCCTAGAGTAACCACTTGAAAAGGACTGAACAGTGGAAACGTTACTTCTCCTGCCTTCCAGGGCAGTGGGAGAAAGACCCTGCTAGTACGGTGACTGGCTGCTTTATTTCTCTTATGAAAAGTAGCCCAACCAGAGAGGACAGCAGCCACAGCTCAGCCTAACAATAGGACCTCTAGTTATGCTGAACAGGAGCAAGAAGAGACCTAGACAGCGCTAATAGCAATGATTCTCCCCACTTGCATTCTTTCAATCCAACCAGCGTGCAACTTGGTTTAGAAAATTAGGTATGTTGTTTAAAATTCAATTAAAACTTCAAACTTCGAGTCAAATTAAAAGTCCCAGGGGCACAGGGAATCTACAGCAGTGGTTCTGGTTCTCAAACATCCGTGTGCCCCAAATCACCCAAGAGGCTCATGAAATGCAGATCCCCAGGCCCTGCTCCCAAAATGCTGACTCAGCAGGACTGAGGGGGACACTGTGGGAGCCTACATTCTAAGAAGCTTCCCAAGTGATTCCAAAGTAGGCAGGTGATGATGAGTGGGTCCCACTTTGAGAAAATGCCAAGTTGAAGGTGATCATCTTCTGGTTTACCATTGTCCGTTTGGTAGGTTCGGGCTCATCTGTCCCCACTCTCCTTTCTCGGGACACTTGCCTCAGAAGTGTGGTCATGAGAAAGGATCAATATTTAGATCAGTAAATCCAGATGCAGAAAGAGCCAAAAACCATCTCAGGCGTACTCCTGGAGGTTGGTCCAAGATCCTCAGCCTCAGGGCATGGGAAGCCACTGGCCAGACATTATGACCCAGATCACTGAGCCATCACTCACCACAATCTAGTACCTATGATTCAGATCAATGTACCAGGGTCTAAAATCATCCAGCCCAGGGGTTCTGGGTCTTTCGTGTGCACCTGCCATGGGGAGGCCTTTACATCCCTTCTCAGAATAGCACTTATAAATGCAAAAAACAAGATGCATAGTATTATAAAGGACACAAATTATATTGAAATCGGGTATTTCAAAATATTTTTTAAACTCGTGATATAGTGATACAAGTGTTTCTTCACTGATGCATTAAACAAGATCTAGCAGCAGGTCTAACTGCTGCAGTTTCAAGGTAGTGACATGATAAAAACAGCATTTCAAAATACTTGCAACACTACACACGATCGCAAACACATGGAATCAACTTAGGTGCCCATCAACAATGGATTGAACAAAGAAAATGTGGTACATATACACTACGGAATACTACACAGCCATAAAAAGAATGAAATCATGTCCTTTGCAGCCACATGGGTGCAGCTGGAGGCCATTAACCTCAGCGAATTAACACGGGAACAGAAAATCAAATCTGCATGTTCTCACTGATAAGTGGGAGCTAAACACTGGGTACTCATGGATACAAAGACAGCAACAATAGACACTGGGGACTACTACTAGACAGGAGAAGGAGGGAGGGGACAAGGGTTGAAAAACTAACTATTCGGTACTATGCTCATTACCTGGGTGATGGAATCATTTGTATCCCAAACCTCACCATCACACAATATACTCCATGCAGCAAACCTGCACATGTGCCCTATGAATCTAAAAAGTTGAAATTATATATATATATATATATATATAAAATTATATATTATATATACACGTATATATATGTGTGTGTGTGTGTGTGTGTGTGTGTATATATATATATATATATACACAGCTGTTGCAGGTATATATATATATATATACACACACACACGGCTGTTGCAGGTATATATATATATATACCTTGTGTAAATGTAAAGCTGGGCCAAGCCTGGGAGACTCAACTTGGCAGCTACGGCACCAGGCCTGGCTCTAGGACCACATGAAAGGCAACAGCCCTTCTCACAGTCACCCGGAGGAACAATGATCAGGTGCTTTACTGTTTTTATTCATCCAGCCTGAAATCACCATGTGGCAACTACACTCTATCTGAAAGTGGATAACACTAACTCAGCTTAGTGAGATGGCAATGGGCCCAATGTTGTCTGCTGTCAGGCTTAGGTCTGCATGATGGCTATGCTCCCTTGGCCCCTTCCCCCATACATTCTCTCTGACCTTTTCCACCCCGCCCTGAGCCTGGGAAGCTGAGCACTACTAACCCATCCCCTGGCCTCTCAGCCCTCTGGCTTAGGGTTGGGTTGAGCCTCAGCTGGTTGGAGGCACCTGCAGGAGACCTTCAGGAGGGAGGAAAGAAAGACTAGGCATTTACTCCTCACCTCCTGCTCAACACCGCACCCTGGTAGTTACAGCTCCTGTCGGGGACCTCTGCCAGGGCTCCAGGGTAGCTCCCTCCACCAGTAACACTATTCCCTGCCCTGCCCCTCAGCCCTAGGTGGTAACTGCTTCCTGCTGGTGTTAGTCCCTGAGCATATTCCCTTACCTTTGCCAAGAGAGCTTTCAAAAAAGTCCTTTCCATGAAAGTCCCCTCAGTCACACCCACTGCCTGCAACAGCTGTTTCCTACAGGTATCCCACTGGCACAACTCTTCACTAGCTATATAACATTGAGCAAGTCATTTCACCTCTCTGAGCCTCAGCCCCTGACCCGTGGGAAGGGAACCACGGCACCCACCTCCCAGCGGGCTGGGCTGGGCGAATTAGGTGGGACAGTGTGCGTCAAGCGGAGAGCAGGGTGCCTGGTAAGGGCGTTCTCGGTGAGTCTGCTTTCATTGCAGGCAGGTGCTGGGCTCTGAGAACAGGCTGCTCTGCAGTTTATTCTTAGTAAACACACCTAGGACATCCTTTGATCATCAGGGTCAGAATCATCTAGGGAAGGTCTTTGGGTGGACTAAGGACTCCAAGACCTCTGCCCACAGAAGCACTCAGCAGTCAGTGGGCCACTCCCCAGAAGAAGAAAGGAAGACGTCAGGTTGACCTCAGGAGAGAGAGAGAAGCCATGTGGGCTCAGGGCACTAGATGGTACTGCTAGATTTACTCATTTACCTCCTTTTCCACTCTGGCCAAGAATCCCCACATCTGGCACATGCACAGACCTTTCATACACAACGTCCCATGACATCTCCACAACATTATAATGTGGGCCTTATTACACTACTTATTTTTTTTGGATGAGACAAAGTTCGGAGACATTAAGAGAATTGTCCAAAGTCAATTATCTGCCAAATACGAGAACCAGGCTGAGTTCTCAAGTTTTCTAAGCAATATCTCAAATTCTTTTTCAATAGAAGATGTAAGATAGCAGATACAAATGGCTCAACCAAAACCCTGCCCTTCAGTAGTTTTAGGCTAGAGAGGCCCTTCCACTGAGAAACAGAAAAGGCATTGAAGAGATACGGTCATCTGCCTACCAGCCATTGAGTGTCTGTGGTTTCAATGTGTAATTTAGTGAAAATAATTTCAGTAAAAAGCACACAGATAAAAGAAACATCTGTTTAAGCACAAGTTGGAGGGTTGAAAAGCTGAACCCCCTGATTTCCCAAGGGACAATATTTCTTAAGCCTTGGTTTTATAGGGAAAAGTAAGCCAGTCTTGTGGCTCTACCCTCCTTGCCCATTTGTCATTAATGAAAAAACAGTATTAGTTCTCCTTGAATTAAGAACAGAAATCACAGCCCATTTCTATTTCTAATAGAAATAGTCAATGCTTTATGTATCCATCCTAAACTGTTACTTATCCTGAATAAATACTCTCAGGAATTCAATTTGATATCAAATATATGGCTAATGAACACTATGATCTGAACATCTGTGTCCCCCTAAAATTCATATATAGAAATCCTAACCCCCAAAGAGATGGTACGAGGAGGTGGGGCCTTAGGTCATGGGGGAGGAACCTTATGAATGAGATTAGTGCCCTTATAAGAGAGGCCCAAGAGAGCTGGGCATGGTGGCACATGCCTTGAGTCCCAGCTACTTGAGAGGCTGAGCAGGAGGATTGCTTGAGCCCAGGAGTTTGAGGCTACAGTGAGCCATGATTGTGCCACTGCACTCCAGCCTAGGCAACAGAGCAAGACACTGTATTTAAAAAAATTAAAAATAAAAATGATAAAGAGGCCCAAGAGAGGCCCCTCACCCCTTCTGCCATGTGAAGACACAGCAAGAAGGCTCTGTGTATGAGCCAGAAAGCAGGTCCTCACCGGACACTGACTGCTTGATCTTGGACTTCCCAGCCTTCATAACTGTGAGCAGTACTTCTGCTGTTTAGAACCCACCTAGTTTACACATTTTGTTATAGCAGTCCAAGCAGACTAAAACAATGCCAAATTATATTTCCCCTACTCTTTCAATGGGAATTCCCAACTCTCCTTGAATGTTTAGTATTTACACCATCTCAATCCCTTTCCGCTCCCTGCACTAGATACATTTCACAGTCATTAATTCCTATAATCAGCTGAGAGGAAGAAAGATGTTATTAGCTGTACTCGACAGGTGAAGAGACCAAAGGCAGGAAGGTTGCATAGCCTGCCCAGGGTGAGGAGGAAACCAGTACCCCAGCCAGGACCGGAACCAAGGAGGTCCCAGGTCATGGTTTTCTCTGCCAGGCTGAGCAGAATCTATTGTGACCATTCAGTTTTCCAGACTATCTCCACCCAAAAGGAACAAGTCACTGTGGTCTCCACTTTGCCAAAAATCCACATAAGATCCCTGGACACACACAAGCCTACCACCAAGGACTTTCTTCAGAACAAGCCCTATTTAACTTAAACAGGGCCAATGTCCCACTCCTGCCACAGGGAAAATCCTTCAGCGGAGGGAAAGAACTGATTATACACTCCTAAGCTTAATAGGGGAAGGCAATTCCATTCTGAATAGACTGAATCAGCCTTCACAGACCATGGGGAACCTGTTCATAAAACATTTGCTAACCATTAACTACAGTCCTGCTAATAAATGCTGTAATAGCAGCTCCTCAGAACTGTGCCCCGCCAGTCTAGCTGCACCTTTAATCGGCTAGCGGCTGTCAACATGACACCAGGGGCCCAGCCATGGTGCAGCTGGGGTGATGTGTTTAAATTAAACAGCTCTATCAGTTCCGGTGCTTGGGGCCCAGCAGGTCACCTCTCTCCAAGGGAAGCCAGTGAGGGGCCCGAAGACAGCCAATTCTGCAGAACCACCTGGCTCTCTTTTGCATTGTCCTTCATCTTGCCAGTGCTCCACCCAGCCAGGACTTTTCTAGGGAAGCCCCAGGACACAGCAGTGTGATGGGCTTCTATGGCCACAGGACTGACGGAGGCTGCTTTCTGATTGGCACACTTTCTTCCTAGGAGGCTTTGAACAGAAGGCAGGACTTCCTCTAGTTCTTCCTTCTGCATTCCTGATCTTCCCTTCTCTTTCCTTTTTCATTGTTGGTGTTTCTCTTCTGCCATTCAAGTGATCCCTGGATCATCCAGCCACAGCCAGGCAGTCAGCTACCACCCATGAACCTGGCCTTCTTCCTGAGCTCAACCCCTTACCAGACATCCCATTTGGATGACCTATAGATGCCTCAAACTCAACTCATCTACAACCTCATCTCCACCTCCCATAACCAAGGTGCTCATTCTCCACCCAACTCCAATTTCAACAGCAAGCAAGTTCCTGTCTCCATCCAGCTTCTCAAACCAGAAATATGGCCTCTTCCTTAATTTCTCTTTCTCGACCATCAAATCTGTTATAGGTTTATTAATTTTACTTCCAAAATCTCTGGCATTCACCCCCTCTTCCTCTCTCTCATTTAAAATAAAATCATGCCACCACAGTCTGGCTTCCCACGATCACTCCCAAAGACAACTGAGCCCCCTTTTTCCTCACTCCAACATGCAGTCTCAAAAATACTATCAGAGTGATCTTCCTAAAACCAAACAATGACCATAAATTTCCTAAAACTGAACAATGACCATAAATTTTGTGGAAACAAACTCATCATCCTGTAGCTCATATGCCCTTTCCCACTTGGTCTCCAAACTCTCTGACCACTATCACCTCCAGGTACTTTCCCTAAGAAACCTGATACTCCAAGTACCCCCAGACCACTGTGCAACCTCAAGAAAAAAGGTAGGCTCAGCAATGCCTGCAAGTGTTGGCTCATGCTATTTCCCCTGCCGAGTATGTTCTTTCCATTATTCCTCATCCTTTAAACTTAGTTCCTTGCCCTTTTCAGAATAAAGTCCTTGCAGTCTATCCTCCACCTGCTGAGAACTCATTACCACATCTTATAACCCTCCCATCCTCCCCCAGGTGCCTACTGCTACCATGAGCACTGAATAACCCTTGAAGACAGGATCACAGTTTACATGTATTCATACCCCGGCATTTAATATAGTGCCTAAAACAGTTTCAATAAATTCTTTTTGTTGTGGTTGTTGTTTTTGGAATCAAGTCATACTAATTTTTTTTATTTTACTTTAAGTTCTGGGATACATGTGCAGAGCGTGCAAGTTTGTTACATAGGTATACATGTGCCATGGTGGTTTGCTGCACCTATTAACCCATCATCTAAGTTTTAAGCACCGCATGCATTAGGTATTTGTCCTAATGCTCTCCCTCCCTTTGACCCCCACCTCCCGACAGACCCCAGTGTGTGATGTTCCCCTCCCTGTGTCCACGTGTTCTCATTTTTCAACTCCCACTTATGACTGAGAACATGTGGTGTTTGGTTTTCTGTTCCTGTTAGTTTACTGAGAATGATGGTTTCCAGCTTCATCAATGTTCTTACAAAGAACATGAGCTTATTCTTTTTTATGGCTTCATAGTATTCCATGGCGTATATGTGCCACATTTTCTTTATCCAGTCTATCATTGATGGGCATTTGGGTTGGTTCCAAGTCTTTGCTATTGCAAATAGTGCTGCAGTAAACATACATGTGCATGTGTCTTTATAGTAGAATGATTTATAATCTTTTGGGTATATACCCAGTAAAGGGATTGCTGGGTCAAATGGTATTTCTATTTCTAGATCCTTGAGGAATCGTCACACTGTCTTCCACAATGGTTGAACTAATTTCCACTCCCATCAACAGTGTAAAAGTGTTCCTATTTCTCCACATCCTCTCCAGTATCTGTTGTTTCATGACTTTTTAATGATTGCCATTCTAACTGGAATGAGATGGTATCTCATGGTGGTTTTGATTTGCATTTCTTTAATGACCAGTGATGATGAGCTTTTTTTCATTTGTTTGTTGGCCACATAAATGTCTTTTGCTGAGAAGTGTCTGTTCATATTCTTCACCCACTTTTTGATAGGGTTGTTTGGTTTTACTCTTGTAAATTTGCTTACGTTCCTTGTAGATTCTGGATATTAGACCTTTGTCAGATGGATAGATTGAAAAAATTTTCTCCCATTCTGTAGGTTGTCTGTTCACTCTGATGATAGTTTCTTTTGCTGTGCAGAAGCTCTTTAGGATTAGATCCATTTGTTAATTTTGGCTTTTGTTGCAATTGCTTTTGGTGTTTTAGTCATGAAGTCTTTGCCCATGCCTATGTCCTGAATGGTATTGCCTAGATTTTCTTCTAGGGTTTTTATGGTTTTAGGTTTCATGTTTAAGTCTTTAATCCACCTTGAGTTAATTTTTGTATAAGGTGTAAGGAAGGGGTCCAGTTTCTGTTTTCTGCATATGGCTAACCAGTTTTCCCAGCACCATTTATCAAATAGGGAATCCTTTCCCCTTTGCTTGTTTTTGTCAGGTTTGTCAAACATCAGATGGTTGTGGATGTGTGGTGTTATTTACGTGGCCTCTATTCTGTTCCATTGGTCTATATATTTGTTTTGGTGCCGGTACCATGCTGATTTGGTTACTGTAATCTTGTAGTATAGTTTGAAGTCAGGTAGTGTGACGCCTCCAGCTTTGTACTTTTTGCTTAGGATTGATTTGGCTATATGGGCTCCTTTTTGGTTCCATATGAAATGTAAAGTAGTTTTTTCTAATTCTGTGAAGAAAATCAATAGTAGCTTGATGGGAATTGCATTGAATCTATTAATTACTTTGGGCAGTATGGCCACTTTCACGATATTGATTCTTCCTATCTATGAGCATGGAATGTTTTTCCGTTTGTTTGTTTCCTCTTATTTCCTTGAGCAGTGGTTTGTAGTTCTCCTTGAAGAGGTCCTTAATGTCCCTTGTAAGTTGTATTCCGAGGTATTCTATTCTCTTTGTAGCAATTCTGAATGGGAGTTCACTCATGATTTGGCTCTCTGCTTGTCTATTATTCGTGTAAGTTTCAATAAATTCTTGAAAATGAATTGCATTTCTCCCTGGTAGTACCTAGGTATATAATTTTGCCTGGATGGAAAAGATTTGAGAAGGCAGCCCTACAGAGGGGACTTCCAAATAAGGATTTGATTCTCATTTCATCCTGTTGGGCAGAGAGTTTGCTTTTGCAGATGGCAAAGAAGGAGAGACAGCAAGGCTCATGTTTGGCTCCAAGAGCATGCAGAGTAGACATCACATCTAGACTGGTGGCTATTGGCTCTCTCTCCCAGACAAGCTGCTGCAAATGCTTGATTTGAGTAGGGATAGAGACTGAAATTCAACTGGGTATAAATCTGCTATTGTGTTCCTACTGTGTGCAGGCACACAACTTAAATGTAAAAGAATGTCTCTGCCCACGCAGCTGTCACTGGCTCCCAGGAAAGTCCAGTCACAGACACAAAACTGAGGAGAATAATATAAGATGGTAAATTTTTAAAATATTAGATCTAGAAACTGCCTTCCAGTCAACTATCCCAGTGCTTTCCAGACCTCCCTCAGAGGCCTGGAGTCTGTGGTTGTGTTGTCCCAAACCCTGTCCCCGAAAACCAAAGGAACTCCACTTTTACCCAGTTCATATCTGGGGACTAAATTTAACTAAAGGGACTCCACTGGAGGAAACATTTGAAAATGAACATCTATTCTAATTCCCTTAGATTATTCCATTTATAGAATACCCAAGAGTGGATGTTCACAGGCCAAAATATACAACACAAATATATCGCTGATTTCGGCTGGGCTGGCAGAAGTGAGATCATCCTATTGGATCTCGCCAGACACAAGTGCACCTGAGATAGACAACAGTCATAGCTCACCATCCAAACACCACTACCTGACATTGCTTCTCGGAAATGGCTCTGCTCTCAATAAATCCAATAGGGGAAGGTGAAGGGGACTGGGGAAGAAGGAGTAAGTATATTTTAAAACTACATAGCCAGGTCTTCTCCTGGGAATAACTTTCCCATTGTCTGTATTGATCTCCAGAATAAACAAAGATGAGAAGGGAAAGAGTGGTAAAAAAAACTCTTCGCACGTTTAAAGTGATTTGTCTCCTCCCTCCTTGCTGGCAGATGAAGCGCTCACACTTTCAGGCTGGCTGAGCTTCTCCTTGGGTGATGAAAAGTGGGGGAGATGGAGGAGTGGCCAGAAGCAGGCCCCAAACTGGTCTCTTCTCTCCAGATCAGCCCAGAAGACCTCCCAGCTCTGTTCACCCACAGAATATACAGCCCAGATATCCATCTTGGTCCTTTATTGTCTACTCATTGGTTTTATTATTTTAAATATTATGTGGATGCTTGAGGTCTCCAGAGCCCTGAGGGCAAAGGTGATGTCTGATGTTTCACACTCTTGCCTCAAGCCTCCCGCTTCCTCACTCCTGCTCTACTGAGGGCTGAGATGATGGTGGAAAAAGCACTCCTGTGGGTCTGTCCCAGTCCCTCCACTGATGGAACAGTGATGTGAACTTGGACAAGTCAGTAGCGCTCTCAGAGATCCATTTTCTGCATCAGAAAAACGGGGAGAATACCTTTCAGGAAAGTGGTAAGAATTAAGGCAAATTAAATGCTACAGGTACAGCACGCAGCTTAGTGCCTGGCAAAGATGAGCAGACAAGATCATGAGCAGATGGCATCATGCTGGGGAGGGGAGTCAGGGCCAGCAAGAGGCCAGGAGGAGGGCCTTGGAATGGGCAGATGCTGCTGCTGCACACCTTCCTGCCTGGTCAACTTGATGATGGTCCGGCAGGGCCTCAGATTTGCAGACTGTATTGAAAAAGTTATGTGTGACTTGAAGCACTATGGAAGGCATCACATTCAAATCGTGCTGGGGAGCCTCTGACCTTGAGATAGACCATAACTAACCCTCCTACAAATCCCTCCTGCCGGGTGTCTGAGGAGAATGAAGAGCCCAGCAGAAGTCAAGAGGCAGACCTGGGTTTGAGTTCCAGCTCAGAATATATTCATGCCTTGTGACTTACCTAAGTATCCCCCAGAGACCATCCAAAAACTTAACCCATGGGAAGACAGTAGGGCACAGTAACAAGAGTACAGGCCTTCGAGTCAGGATTCCAATCCCCGCCCCACCCTCTTCCTACCTGTGTGACCTAGAGCAAGTGGCTCAACTTCTCTGATTCTTACCTTACCTCGCCTACAGGGCTGATATGTGAGAGAGATGAGATCATAGCTGTAGGTGCCCAGAGGAGGAGGCATACATGACAGGGCCCTTTTTCATGGCCCTGTTGCCCCTTTCCATCCCATGGAGGTTACATTCTGAGTGTGCTTGCTGTTCCATGCTTTGCATCGGCTCCTCAGCTGAGCTGGTTGTAGGCCCCCCCAGAGGCCAGGGCATTACCATTAAGGGAGACCGATGAAGAATTCCTAGCAGCCTCCCAGCTGTAGAGCACCCAGGTGCCTGTCAGAAGCCAGAGGAGTGAGGCTGGGCCTCGACAGGGCCATTACTCACCCACACCACCGGAGACTCCAGCAGCTGCGAAAGGGTGCGGGGGCGGGGGGCGGGGGGGTGGTGTCCAGCCATCTTTAAGGGTCTGGGTTTGCTCGTGAAAAAGAAACAAGGGGCTTATTTATGTCACTCAGGCCCAGTGAGCAGGGAGGGGCCGTGCAGGGAAGCCTTTAATGAGCACTCTTCCCTCAGAAATGCTGACAGGAGTTGGACACGAAGTACATCTCGGCCAAAACATCATCATCCCCAGGATCCCAGTGGAAAGATAAACCTGACTGCAAATATTGGTTTCTGTGAAGAGCCGGAGCACAGAGCAGGCAGCCCCCAGGGCTCAGCTGCAGGTGCACAGAGATGCCCGCCCAGGCCAACACTGCCACCACTGAGAGCACCCCCCACCCCCCACCAAGGCCAGCCTGCTCCCACGGTGCCACACAATGCCAGCCTCCTGAGCTGGGCTGCCCTCCAGAAACAGAAAGGAGAAATCTAGTCACATAGAAAGCTGCCCAGGCTGTGGAAAATGCAATTTCCAGACCCAGCCAAGCTGGGAAAGGGGCAGGCTGCTGCACACCCACCTACCTCACCCCGACATTGCCCAGGGGCCTGGACATCAGCCTTTCCCTACCCTCTGTAACACCAGTGACACAGTGGGACCAGGACAGCCTTCCTCAGCCAAAAGTCTCCTTTTCCTTCCCCCAGCAGTCTTGGCATCATCATCCCTCAGTGACCATAGTATCTGCCCTGCCATTACCTCCCGCCAGCCCAGGGTCCTCTCTCCCCATCACCCAGCCTCCCTGGCCTTGGTCCCCTTATTTGTCACATAGGCAAGGGCAGGGGGCCAAACAGGAGATTCCCATAGTCAGTCTCAGTGCTCTGTGCTGCAGAGAGGAATGGCAGCAGGAACCTCTGAACTTCCAGCCATGCAGTGAGCCCAGGAGCAAGGGGTCCATGTCCCCACGGGGGCCAAAGAGAAGATGAGTGCCCCTCGTTACCCTAGAGAAGCCCTGAGAGTCTGGGAATGCCGTGCTGAGTGCAGAGGCACAGGGGTCACCGAGAGACTCAGGCTGTCTTCACGACATCCCCGGACTTTGCAGACTTTGAGCATCCTCTTCTGAGCCGGTTTTGTGCCGGCAGAGGGTGCACTCACTCAGGAAAGCAGGGTCTGCTCAGGACATTAGGTCTGCTGTAAAATAGGGTCCCTGGCTCTGCCCATGGTAGCTCCATGACTGAGGTGGCTTTCCATGCCTCAGTTTACCCAGTTTCAAAGACAGGAGAGCCTACCCCTCTAGCAGAGGGAGGACTTAAGAGTTGGAGCCAACTTGCACAGCAAAAATAAACCTCTGTCACTTCCATACAGCGCTCTGCTTCTACCACTATCAGCTCACTTAATTTTCATTAAAATGTTATAAAATGGGCATGTCTCACCCCATTTTCCAGACAAGGATTAAGGCTCAGAAGGGCTCAGGGACTTAAGTCACTCAGTGGCTAAGGCGAGTCAGGTAGTCTGGGCATGCACACCGTTACTCCTCCTGTGACCTACAGTCTTGGGGAGGAGCAGGCAGGAAGGCTGGGGACTTGGGCCCCTCATTCTGGAACCTGCTCTTCCTTCGTGTGGGCCTTGACTCTCTTTCTCTGTACCTGAAACAAAGCTCAGGAGCCACCCCTTCCTCCTGCCTCAAGACAGACTCTTATCCTTTCCCCAAGCCCTGCCCAGAAAGGGATTCCAAGTCCACTCCCAAAACTGGAAACTCTGGTCAGAACCCTGGAGCCCAGACCAGCAGACCCCTATGTTCCAGTTGCTTCTGAGAGAAGGCAGCTGTAGACTTAAAAAGGTCCATAATTGGCTGGGTGCAATGGTTCACATCTGTAATCCCAGCACTTTGGGAGGCCAAGGCAGGTGGATCACTTGGGGCCAGGAGTTTGAGACCAGCGTGGCCAACATGGCGAAACCCCGTCTCTACTAAAAATACAAAAATTAGCCACGTGGGGTGGTACACGCCTGTAATCCCAGCTATTCAGGAGGCTGAGGCACCAGAATAGCTTGAACCCAGCAGGCGAAGGTTGCAGTGAGCCCAGATTGCGCCACTGCACTCCAGAGATCACGCCACTCTACTCCAGCTGGGTGACAAAGCAAGACCCCGTCTCAAAAAAAAAAAAAAAAAAGAAAAGAAAAGAAAGGTCCATAACTAATAGCAAATGCATTTTGAATAGTGCAGAGCTACTCCTGTTCTACCTCCCCCTGCAAAGAAGCCACACTAGAGACAGTTCTGGGATAACCTTTCTGAACAGAGCAGCTCACCACTGCCCCGTGCAGACAGGGCAACAATGGGGCCCCTAGGTGTTTAAGATGAGGCTGGAGGACTAATAATAAAGCAGAAACAAAACAAATGTCCCTCAGCTGATGAATGGGTAAACAAAGCCAGCATATCCATACAATGGAATAATATTTGCTAATAAAAAGGAAGAAAGTACTGGCACGTGCTACAGCACAGATGAACCTTGAGAACATCATGGTAAATGAAAGAGGCCAGCCGCAAGAGGCCACGTATTGTATGATTCTATTTATATGAAATGTCCAGAATAGGCAAATGTGTGGAGACAGAAAGCAGATTAGTGGATTAGTGGTCACCTGGAGCGGGGTGGGGCATGGGAATTGAATGCTAATGGTGCAGGGTTTCTTTTGGAGGTCAAAGATGTTCTAAAATTAGATTATGTGCTTGTTGTATAACCCTGAGAATACACTAAAACCATTGATCTTTACTTGTCATATGGGTAGACTGTATGGTATGTAGATTATATCTCAAAAAAGCTATTTTAAAAAATAAAAAGATGGGATCGCCACCTTTATCTTTCTTCTATAGAGAGGGACAGGGAGGAAGCTAAGATCTCAGGAACAGCATTAAACATTCTAGTTATTTACCACAAGGCCACTTAAGGAAGGTGACATTCTGTGTTTGTGAGAGTGTACTTGTGTACACACAGGTTAGACAGTCTGAATCTGCCCTCTAATCGCTGTATTTATCATTTATTGCATCCCTGTTACGTAGTAAGCACTTTGCTTGTATTTCCCCAGTTATTCTTCACAATAGCCCTAGGAAGGAAACACTGTTATAATCCCCATTTTACAAATGAAGAAATGGAGTCTCTGAGAGGTTGAATGAATGTGATACTTTACCCAGGGATGGGCAGACCCTGAGTGCCGGCACCCTGGGATTTAAACACATGCAGTCTGTCTCCAGCCTTCCCTTTTAACCCTGACCCCAGGAGCCTTCATTTATGGCAACTCAGGATCACAACCTCCCCGGAGCAGCAGGGCCTGAGCTTCCTGGAGGCTTGACACCCAAAAGTAAAAGCTGAACTCGCAATAGAAAGATGTCTTTTTCTTCCCAAGAGGCCTTGGGCAACAACGAGATGGATTTCCTTTTAAATGACTGTCCACTGTTGTGTGTGATAGCTCTTTGGTTTTATCTAATCCTGCTCAGTTCACGTTACTGCTGTCATTTGTCTCCTCCATCTCGATGGGGTGATGAACTGTCTTGCTCAGTGAGAAGCAGGCACTGAGACAGAAAGGAAAGAAATGCATCAAAGCTGGCCTGGACCGAGAGAAGAGGAGGAGGATGGCTTAATCAACCGGGGGCAAAGTCACAATCCTTCCTGTGTCCGCTTACCCCCACCCTCCGAGTCCCATGGAGCATCCTCCAAGTACCTCTGGGAGAAAAGAGAAGAAGCCAGAAGCCACCACTGGAGTGATGTCCCAGGAAGCTCACTACCTCATGGCAGGGCATACAGTGGGATCCCTCGACCAAGGACTTCTTCCCAGGTTGACCACGGGCTATTCCACCATCTACTCATTCACAAAGTGCCTTCCTAAGTTCAGTCAGGACCTGGCACTCACCCAGCTTCCAGAAAGGAGCCCATAAACATAAGAGATCAGTTTTGGTGTTAGAAAGGGGACCACGTAGGTCCCATTGTTCCTCTGGAAGAAACCTAGACATGGCCACACCATCTGGGTCTTGCCTAGGCTGTCCTGTCCTCAGGAACAGAGATGCTGAGAGACCTCTGGGTGTGTCCCTCACCTGAACACCACCTCCTTCTGAAACCTGCCCATTTTACACTGAACTCAAACAAGCTTGCACTTAGGCTCCCCAAACCCTGTGACTCATCCATTTTCTCCCAGCCTGAAAAATGCTCGGCAGCAATTTATCGGCGTGCCCAAGGGGAGGCAGCTGACAGCCAGGAGCCAGCACAGCCGAAACAAACAAGGGCAATGCTGTGAACTGCACTTCCAATTTTAATGCAAAATCTTGCCTCCTAAAGTCTGAATTTTTCTTCAGGTTCATCCAAATTCCAGCGTGTAGCCACATGCCCAAATCATTGCATTGGTGGGATGATCCAAAATCCTTTGTCCAATTGCAAACTGGAAAATTTGGAAGTTTGAGTAATTTGACGTTTAAAGGATGCAGAGAGGCTGGCCCTACCCAGGGACAGGCACTGTGCTTGCAGGAGCAATAAGCACTGTCTGGTCTCTGTTAGCAAACAGGGACCAGGGCCTCCTCAGGCTTGGAAAAAATGAAAGTAGAACCAGGGTCATGGGATTGTAGATTACACGGGATCATTCTAAGTGAAGTAACTCAGAAATGGAAAACCAAATATCATATGTTCTCACTCATAAGTGGGAGCTAAGCTGTGAGGATACAAAGGCAGAAAAATGACAGAATGGACTTTGGGGACTCGGGGAAAGGCTGGGAAGAGGGTAAGGGATAAAAGACTACAAACTGGGTTCAGTGTGTACTGCTTGGGTGATGGGTTCACCAACATCTCACAAATCACCACTAAAGAACTTACTCATGGAACCAGATACCACCAGTTCCCCCAAAACCTGTGGAAATAAAAATTTTTTTTAAAAGAGAAAGTAGAACCAGGGTCAACCAAACATGTGCCTAGTAAGAGTCTGAGTTCCTCCTGGACTTGACCTTTTCCAGCTCTTTTTTGAACAAAGTCCGGAGGACATCAGAGCATCCAGAGGATAATGGAGAGCCAGTGACTTTGAGGAGAGCAATTAGGAGCTGAAATCAAGGGTGGATGGAAAAACCTCATTCAGAAACTGGTGTCAAGTAACATGAGCTCCAACTGTCCCAGCCCCTTTCCCTGCCCACCTAGACAGACAGGCAGGGCTCCACACAGCCAGACCCAAAGTGGTGGAGGCACTGTGAGTTCTGTCACTGTGTGTCCCGGGCCTACCTCTCCTGCCCTGCCTGATGACCTGGCTCACCTGGTCCCAGGAATCTGCCCCCCGGTTTCTAAGGTGCTCTGCAGCTCTTCCTTCTCGTCTGAGCCTCCCTTCCTCTGGCCCCTGCCTGCCTCTGGATTCTGACAGCTCTCTGTTCCTTCAGACCCAACAGTGGGTTTCTGGGCTCTGGGGCAGGACGGACTGCAGAGTTTATAAGGCTAAGTGCAAAATGAAAATGCAGGATTCTTGCTCAGAAGTCATTAAGAATTTCAAGACAGCAACAACAGAGCATGAAACCAAGAGCAGGCCCCCATGCAACTGCGCAGCCACACACCCAGAAAGCGGCCTGGAGATGCTGACTTAGCAACCACCAGTGGAGACGGTGCCCAGGAGACAGTGAGGCTGCAGGGTGGGGGCCACCCACGTGTGGGAGAAAAGAGAAGAGGGCATGGGGAGGAGTCAGAAAGGGAGATGTGCTAGAGACACGTGGAAGAACATGGAGAACCCAGAGCAAAAAGGAGCATTTCAAGATGGAAGGGTGGAAGGCACCATCTTCCCTCTGCTGTGGGGTGCAGAGGTGGAGGGCGAGGGCAGAAGGAGCTTGGTTGTCTTCCTGGCATCCAGTCAACTTCCTCCACTGTGTGTATGTCTCCTCTCTTTTCTCTCTCTCTCACACACACACACACACATACACACACACACACACACACATACACACACACACACACACGCATGCGGACGTGCAGAGATACACAGGTCAAAATTTTTGTCTCTCTTGCTCTCTTTTTTTTTCTTTTGTTCCCTCATTGCTTTCTTCCTCTCTTTCATTTTCACCTTCGCCTGACCTCTCCTCTCTTTCATCCTCTTTCTGCCCTATATCTTTCCTTCTCTCATTTCCTTTCTGTTTCACAGCCCCTTACTGTGGTTTGCTTGGAAAATTCTGCCTTCCTTTGCCTCTTCCTTACTAGACTTACTGCCTTACAACCTGGAACTCCTGCAGGTGAAGGAGACCTAGAGGACAACTAAGTCCAATTCCAAATGTGACACAGGCATCTCTCCTATAGGATCCCTCATCTCAGTGGACAGGGACAAAGTGACTTCCCTCGAAGCCTTCTAGACAGGAGGTAAGAGATGAGAACTATGCAGACTAGGGCACCAAGCAGAGATGTGCCAGACAGGGTGGCTCAGTCCGTAAGACTGCCACCCCAGTGCTCCTTCCATGACATGTGACTTCTCTGCCTTGCTCTGGGCTTGCTGATTGTCTACTTGTGCCTTCTTTGAGCCCTGCATTTTTTACACATAATGATAAATTGGTTTTTGCTCTTAAACAGTTGAGTGTTAGATGCACAGAAGATGTCAACAGGCAAAGAATCAAAGTTCAGGGGAAATACTAGGAACTTTAGGGCACAGGCAATCTTTACAGGGAGAACTCCTCCCTGCACTGCTTGAGTGATGGCAGCAAGTGGTCACCTGGGATAGTACGTAAGGGCTTCCAATCTGGACTCAAACACCCCCAGCTCCAACGCTAACCAGCTGCGTGATCTTGAGCGAGATATGTAGGATCAGTGCTCCAGGGTCCTCGTCTGCAAAATGGGAATATGAAAAGGGACTCACTCTGTGGGATTTTTGTGAGGTTTAGATAATAGAAATAACTTTGCCCTATGCCTGGCATATGATATGCACTCAAAACATGTTAGTTATAGACATGAGACTTAAATATAAATATTTGTTGCATGTTGACTATATGCAGATATTGTTCTAGACATGGGAAATAGAATAGTCAAAAAAACAAAGATTTTGCCCTTGTGGACCTTGCATTCTAGTGGAAGAGATGGACATATCAGTCGATAAATAATCTCTACTATGACAAAAATTAAATTTGGGGAATAAAGAGGGGGGGGGAACAGCATTTGGGGAACGATGCAAGAGAAGCCTCCTCTAAATAGGGTAATCATGCAGCTTCCTGGAGGGAAAACAACTGCAAAGGCCTGAGACATGCTGTGGGTTTAAGGACCAGCTAGGGGCCGGCGGGACTGGGGCAGGAAAGTGAAAGAAAGAAGAAAAGAGATGAGGTCAGGGTGGCAGGGAAGGAGATGTCAGCTCATATATGGCTTTGGAGTCCTTGATGAGGACTATACATTTTATTGTAAGTGTGGCAAACAGCCACTGGAGGGTTGTGACTTGGAGTTTGACTTGGATTCACATTTTAAAATATCATTAGCCTCTGTGGGCAAAAGACTAAAAGGACACCGTTACAGACCGCTGGATGGTCCAAGTGAGAGAAGATGGTGGCAGCTGTGCTAAGGGGAGGAACAGAACGCTCTCCTTCCATTGCCACACAGGGCCTCTGCCTTAGACCAGGCTGGCTACCTGTCTACCTGTATATTTATTTGGGCCCTGAGTTCTCTGTGCATAGTAATAATTAAATGGGGTTTTACACTGCCAACAGCTGCCTGTGAGTTGAGGAGTTAGAAGAGGTAAATGTGGATGAGAAATGGCCCCATGGTGCAGAGGAAGTAGGAAATAGAGGACTACAGCTCACTGCCCAGGAGAAGACACAGACTGAAGGGAGACGGTGCCAGGGAGACGGTGCCAAGCACACAGCACCAAGCAAAGCACACGGCCTGCAGAGTCAGCCCTGATGGGTCCCACTCTGAGCTGCCTGACCTTGGAGAAGTCACTTGACATCCCAAGCTTTGGCTTCCTCATCTGTGAAATGGAGCTAACAAAGGGCAGCTGCTGTGAGTGCCAGTGACAGTCCATATGCAGCGCTAGGCACACAGGGGTTCAACAGCCCCCGTGCATCTTTGGGGGATTTTTTTTTTTGCTTAAAACCACCACTGTTTTTTATTTCTCACATCTCTGGGTAAGCTTGGGATTCTGCTGACCTGGGCTGGGCGGGTTGATCTGGGCTGGGCTCACTCATGCTGTCTGTGGGCAGCTTACAGGTCTGCCTGGGGCTAACTGGTTCAGGATGGTCTCAGCTGGGAAGTCTAGGCCCTGCTACACACAATCTTTCATCCTGCAGTAGTGGCTACTATACTTGTTCTTAGGCAGTGGTAGAGTTCTAAGAGGGAGACATAGAGAAAAAAGAGAGAGAGGGAGAGAGAGAACACTCATGCGAGCCCTCTTGGAACCCAGACTCAGAATTGTCATATTATCACTTCTACAATATTCTATTGGCCAAAGCAAATCACAGTCAGCCCAGACTTAAGAGGTAGAGACACTGACTCTCTTGACTCAGACTGTAAAGGCCATGGATACTGAGAAGAATAGGAAAACTGGGGCCATGCTGTCCTCAACCCATGGCAACAGGATCTAGGATGTGACTGTGGTTTTGCCCATGGATCTTAATATGGTTGGGATATTTGTCCCCTCCAAATCTCATGTTGAAATGTAATCCCCAGTGTTGGAGGTGGGGCCTGGTGGGAGGTGTTCAGGTCCTGGGAGCGGATCCCTCACGAATGACTTGGTGCTGTCCTTGTGATGAGAGTGAGCTCTCGCTCTGAGTTCACACAAGATCTGGTTGTTTAAAAGAGTGTGGCACACCCTCTGTTCTCTTTGCTCCTGCTCTGTGAACAGAGCACGTGAGATGCCTGCTTCCCCTTTGCCTTCTGCCATGATTGGAAGTTTCCTGAGGTCCTCGCCTGAAGTAGATGCCAGCACCACATTTCCTGTATACCCTGCAGAACCTTGAGCCAATTAAACCTCTTTCCTTTATAAAGTGCCCAGTCTCAGGTATTCCTTTAGAGAAAAGCAAAAGCAAACTAGCACACATCTTTCATATGCAAATGTGTCTCCTGCATCTTTGAGCCTCCACCCACCTAGAAGCTGCTCCTAAAAGGTTTGTTGATTGATCTGGAAGCAATCAGAAACAATCTCTGCGTCCTGGAGATCGGCTTGAAAAGTGTTTCTTGAATGATGCAGAATGTGTGTCACAGCTGGACATGGCAGCATTTCTGAGAAATAGAGAGGCACAGCAGGAAGAGGCTCAGCTGGCCTACGCCCAGCTCTGAGAGTGACAGCGTGTTTACAAGAGCTATTAGGGACCACTGCTCCTCCGTGCTCACGGGATGATTTACTCCACCAGGACTGCCAGGCTGCTGCTTTTCCTTTCACTGCTGAATTGATGATTGAATCACACATATTCCATCTCAATAACATGATTTCACTTTGAGGCAGGCAGGAAGTTCAAAGCCCACTGTAAGAAGACCCTTCCCCCATGCTGGGCTTTGCGACTCTGGGAAGTTCTACAGACACATTCGTGAGTTAGGGAAAGAAATCTCTCTAAAGCACACTACAAACAACTCCGACAGTCCCAAGTCCCACAAGAGCAGAGGCTGCATCTGGTTGTTTGGCAGAGAATTCCCTGAGCACAGTGCCTGACACCTACTTCAATGAACACTTCTAGACTGAATGAATCAACCTATCCGTCTACCTGGTCAGAAGCTGTCTTAACTCGAGCAGACACAGATGACCAGCAGTCTTGGAAACCACTGTGTATAGATAACAGCTGGAAGAACTGGAGAAAAGAGTTGAGTAGGAAGGAGGCCAGGACATGATGCTGCCCACAAATATTTAGTGAGTTGTCCTACTCAAGTCTCCTCCCATTTATTGAGTACCCACCATGCACCACACAATACAATCCTTCTAACAAGTCTTCAAGGTCTATTCTATGACTCATATTCTCTGTACGAAGAAACTAAGGCTCAGAGAAGTTCAGTGACTGGCCCAAGAGGACGTAGCTCCTAAGTGCCAGGCAAGGATGCCACCCAATGTCTCATCCACAGCTCCACACTTCAGAACCAACTCTGCTCCTGTCTCCACCCCCGCTCTGAGACCACCATCCTCTGGAGATCCCTTTTCTGTGAGAAGCCTGTATCAATCAGCAAACAGTGGCAAGGAACAGGTCCTACAGAAATGGCCACTGGAGGATGAGGTCACCAACATTTCCATGGGGTAAGTCCTATTTAATTCCTATTGCAAACGCAAAAGGAGCACTAGATAGGGGTGTGTATACATATATATATATATATATTTTTTTTTTTTTTACATGTACATATACATTTAGTGGCCTCAAGAAACTCAATCCATTTGAAAAAATTGGAAACTATGAATAATGCAATAATACTGTCTTACTGATTTAGACAGTAAATATCAAAGGTAGGGAATGATATGATTTGTCACCCAAACTGGAACACTTTTAAGAATAAAGAAAGGCACTGCTCTTGGACAACAGGTGTAAACTCATACTAGCCAAGATGAACCAGGACTTAAGATCACCATAGCTAGATGATCATAAGCCCCAAAGTTAGGGACGCTCAGCTTTCCAGTGCCTTGTACAAGTGCTGAATTTTGCACAATGCCACTCCATCCCTCATGACAACAGCACTGATTGTAGATGTGGTAGAGAAAGTAATGATTACTGTTGCTATTTATATTAGTATAGTAACAATCCTTATAATAATTGCAGCTTCTGTTTATTGGATTCTGCAGAAAATGTGCTACGCTATTACAAACATCACCCCATTTGTTTCTCACAGTGCTAAGCAGTGGGCATTTTTAGACCCACTTTACAGATAAGTAAAACAGGTACAAAGAGGTTAGGATAAACGACAAGCCCAAGGTCACAGAAGTGAGTATTCCAATGAAGGAGAGTCCTATTTTAAAGGATCTTGTCTTAATTACAAGCTACAAATCTTCCCATTATTTCTTTTTACCTACATTCCTCAAGGAACTTATGAAATCTAATATACACACCCATCTTTTACCATTCACAACTCAACTCCTACCATCTCCAGCAGTTTCTTTCTCTCCATTTTAACATCTGTCTCCCTCTTTAAATTCTGTCCTTTTCCCTTCAATTACCCCAGGAAATATTTTATCCTCTCTCTAAATATTTCTTTCCCCATCTTCACTGCTGCTACAAACCTCCAAAGATACTAGTCTCATCTGATAAGTCTATGAGCCCCTTTATCAGGGCAAATGAAAGCTTAGGTTGCAAAATGAAATTTTAAATGATAAACAGTTTTATCATTCAATAATGACATTGAAAGTACCCAGAAGTCCCCTTTCGGAATCCCCAGAAATCTTCATTTACCTCCTTATCTGTCTCTAATTAAACCAACTTTTCCCTGAGCACCAGGAAAATACACATATTTCTCACTCAATTCTATCACCTTTGGGCGTCATTCCTTAATTAGCAAGGTAGCCACATCACTTCCCAGTTTCCATTGCGTGTGCATAGCTTTTCAGTCACAGTCTAGGTTAAAAGGCTATTATGGGTTGGCTGAGGCACCTGATCAAGATTTATCATGTTGTGTCCACAGAGGAATGTATAGTAGGTTACAAAATAGAGTTGTGGAGCCTAACTTAATGACAGAGTGAGACCAGGCCAGGCCAAGAGGCTAGAGCAAGTCGGAAGAAAACAGCTTAAGTCAGAAGCTGAGGACATTGCTATGTGCCAGAGGTGAAAATGCAGGACAAAATGGAAAGAGGCAAAGGTGATCTTGAGAAGAGACTGGCTCCAGTGGAGACAGTGCAGGTTCTGAAAGGAGCAGGCTGGAAAATAGCCCGGGACCAATTATGTTCATTAGTCAATAGGGACAACAGCTGAAAAGTATCAGGCATAAGCTATGGCAGGGAAAATTCAGGCTCATTAGGAGGAGAAAACTTGAATGGTAATGATCCTACTGGACAACTTTCAAGTTTTAGCAAGGCTGTGAAAATGTTAATGAGGTTGGACAACATTAGACGATCATAAGTTCACCTGGTCAGGCCCCCGACCCCCTCTTAATGGGCCTTCCCCTTATTAAAGGAACACAGATTGATAAGAAAACCCTATTATTGTTTTAAAGGCTACCAGAAAATTGTCCTCAGAGTTAAAGCCAACTAAGTGGCTTATAGAATAAAGGATCTAAGTCTGAATTTTTCATCAAAGCAATCCTAGGTAGATTTGGCCTTCTAAAGGTTTCTCTTCCCACTCCTTGGAGCCAGATCAAATCAATCCCATTCACCTTGTGCTGTGCCTGGCTGATGTGAGCTGTCTTGAGGCTAGCCCTACAGAAGTACCAGAATCAGGGAGCTCTCAGGCCCCGGGGCCACACCGCATGCTCAGGACAGGGCAAGGCAAACATTCAGAAGCTAGATTGCATGGTGAGACTGCAGGCTGAAAAGCAGGCAAGCAGGCAGCATCCGAGAACAGCACAGGCACACAAGATGAAGGCAAGGGGCGAGATATAGGCCTGGGAGAACCCAGGCACAGGAGAGCAGGGGAAAGTAGGGCAAAGCAGGGTTTGGGGACCAGGAGAGCAAAGGACTACAAATTCAGTTCTGACTCACTGGACACGACTCATCTTGGGCCATGGCTGTTCCATGCCTGGGAGGGAGAGCAGGGGAGCTACAGTGGGCTGCTGAAATTGCATTCAGAACGAAATGGGTAGGCTCAGGTGTCAGCTGCAAACTGTTTTCAATTCTAGAAAACATAAATACATGAAAATGCATATGATGATATTTGGCATAGGTGACCACACCTTTGGGACACCAGCTTGTTTGAACCCAGTGCTATTGCCCAGGCTCCACATCAGTGTGGAAGTTGGCTGGACAAGAAGGATTCTCCTCCTATTAGGAAGCCATGCTTCTAGGGATGATGGCTTCTGGGTGAGGCTTCCATTCACTCGCTGTATGGCAGATGCACCTGACAGCGTCAGGACGTACCCTGAGAATGACCCTGTTTGGAAGATGCACCTGAATGTGTGTTCAGAGTTCTGAGCTAAGAAATCTGGGGGTGGCCAACCCGGAGATTCACTCCTTACCTCTGAGGAAGAGCTGAGCCCTCGGACTGTCCTGAGAAACTCAGGCTGTACGGGAGATCAAGGCCCTGTGTTTGGGGTTAAATGAAGGCTGCCAGGTGGAGGTTGTTAAGGGAAGGGTGCTAAGTCAAAACGGTAGTTGAACAGCATGCTTTTTGCAAGTGGTTATGATTCTCCTGCCCAGCCTGCTGCCACCAGACCTCCCTGTAAGTTGCCCTCCTGCTAAT
Source organism: Homo sapiens (assembly GCF_000001405.40). Classification (NCBI taxonomy): domain Eukaryota; kingdom Metazoa; phylum Chordata; class Mammalia; order Primates; family Hominidae; genus Homo; species Homo sapiens. The sequence continues at coordinate 31,079,631 of NC_000002.12, forward strand.
AAAACCCTACGTCTCATGTGTTGGCTCTGGGTCTCCTCTTCAGCCTCTTGAACATGGTGTCATCCCTGTTGAGGTTAAAAGGGGTCTGGCACAACACAAAGTGGTGGTATCAGATAAGAGCACCCCACGGGCTTCCTTAGTCATGTACGGTCCTACAACCCAACACGGGTCCCCCATTCTGGGCAGAGTGTGGCTCACGTAGCTCAGCCCCTACTGTGGCTACTCCCTCTGGTGGTCACTTCCCAGGCACCGGACCCTCCTGCTGCTCCCAGGGAAGGCAAGGGCTGGACACTCAGGGAACTGCTCTGGCTTCCAGCAGTCCTGCATTTAGCCAGTCCCCTGCAACCTGGTGCCCAAATAGTTTGGCTTAGGCAGGCATGAGCCCTGCAAACATGAGGATGCCCACTCAAAGGGATGCAGTGATACACATCAATGAAAACAGTGCATGGGGCAAAATCAGAGCTTTGACCAAAAAGAGTTTAAATGAAACAGGACAAAGAAAAGCAGAATATGCAGTGAAAACAGTAACTCAAGTGGGTCTGGCCACCTGAAAATTGGACTGATACTCAGCACCTTAGGTCAGCAAGAAAAACCAAACCAAACACATTACCCTGAATAATGGGGAGAATAAGGTTATCAGATAAAATACAGGACACTGATTAAATTTCCATTTTAGATATGTAATGAATAATTTTTTAGTGTGTCCCAAATATCACAAGTCATACTAAAATTATTTGTTGTTTTGTTGAAATTCCAGTTCAACTGGGTGTACTCTATTTTTATTTGTTAAATCTAACATCCCTGCTAGAACTAAGTGGTGTCCATTCCATTCTTAGACTCTAAGTGCAGCCCTGTACAAGTCCAACAAAGGTCAGCTGTAAATGAGTAATAGTTAGATGTTTGTATATGGAGAACAGTTTTCTTTAAAAACAAATCACTACTTTGCAGAGAGGAAGATGAAGAGAAGAAATCTAAATTCAGGATGACTTATTAAAGAAAACCCCCTGTTCTGGGAGTCTCAGATGACGTGGTTTCTCATCCCAGGCTTTGTGACCTGTGCAAGTCACTTCATTTTTACATGAAAGGGTTAGTTTGAGGATGGAACTTGGAAATCACTGGGTTCTATTAAACCCTAATGTCATGATTCTATTCAATTAGAACTATGTGAATAGGGGAAATGCACTTACGTTCTAGATCCTAGGAATACAAAACTGGAAGACACTTGTTTCAGCTTGAAAGATGCAGATACTAAATTTTCTGGCAGATACAGAATATATGTGGCCACGTTCTAAGAAATGATGTCATAGGGCTGAGCCAGAAACATGCTCAGAAAGGATGGAGGTAAAATCATAAACTCAAGATTTTTATTTGGCCTCAAGATGTAAGGGGTTCCTCCCAAACATTCTGAGGCTGATAAGATGGAAGAGAAGCATGCCCCTCCCTAACACATCCTTATCTAAGACAATATCTCATTTCAAATGCATTGTTGCTGTGAGAATACTTTCCGAAAATAAAACCCAGTGGATCCCAGTGAAGAGAATCTGTTTCAGAAATGGTAAAGCTCAGTTAATCATGAAAGATAAGGATAAGGCCTCGTGAAGGTCATACCAATAGCCGGCAGAAGTCAAGTATATGGATTCATGGCAATAATGAAGATAAATATCAAGTTTGTCATTACAGCTATTTCTTCTCTACACATAGCAAGAATGTTTTCCAAAGGAGACTGATTCAGTCTAAACTTGGAAATCATTTCGGAACTACAAAAGTTGAAAAGCTTACCTTTCTTTTCTAACATAAAAATAAGCAGGAAGGAAAGGGTAAAGACTGAGTTAACTCCAAAATATAATATTACAAGTGTTTTGGGTTGGACCTGTCTCAAACAGTTCAATTTATCTCAGCAAAAACACATTTTTACACTTACAGCAAAAAATAGTTAAACATTCCAAAGTGCACATGTTTATTTTGTTGGGAAAATTATACACATTTGTTTGATTAGCTTTGGTAAATAAAATAACCTAGTCACCACTCAAGACTCAGACGTGGCTGCAAAATTGATTCAATGAAATGTCAAAATAAATCATAGCTTAAAAATGCATGGTATGTAACTTCTAAAAATGAAAACCACATCTATCTCTGTCAGAGTTGTGAAGACTGTGCATTAAAATTATATCAAAAATGAATGCAGTTTTGAAGGAAAACTATTGATTTAATCGACTCTTCCTGACTAGTGATTCAAATCATGATTTGAATCAATTTGATTTTAATCGAGCCCACCCTATCCAAAAGTCATTTATACATGCCTTTGGAGTGCAAGATGTTATTTTCAGCAGTCTATTTATCTTCCTAGTTATAGGACACTCAGACTGATATAAAAAGAGTTGTGTTGCCTATGTCACATCAACAGGGCAGGGAGCAGAGGCTCCTACAAACTTACCTAGTTGCAAATAATCCCAGTAAGGCCAACCACGCACCAACTATAAGTAATAAGGGACTGACCAACAGTCTCAAGGATGCCAGGACCTGAAATCGGGCAGAGTCCTGGGACAGTCAGTGGACTGCAGACAGTCCTAGCAACAGGGAAGAGGAATGCTTCCTGACCTACAGATAACACACAACAAGCAGGGCACTTGGCCTCAGGCAGGGGCCAAGGCAGCCTCAGGATCCAGAAAGCAGACAGAAAGGCCAAGTCTCCACAAACAGTTCAAGTGCAACTCTTGTCTCTTGCAGAATTCTGAGATGTGGAGGTCAGGAACAAGGCTGGCCTCAATCACCAGGGCTGTAATAGTCAGCAGGTCTCAGTCACAGATGGAGCTGAAAGCCAGAGATCAGGACAAGGCAGATGCTTGGAGAAAGCCAGTTTCTAGAACCAAAGGACTAGGAGGCTGACCTGAAGCTGAAAACATGAATTAGGTATTCAAGGCAATTATGCAAGGGTTGATCAGGTGAACTAACTATAACCTCTGCCTCTGCTGCCTGAAGGGTATTATCTACCTCGTAAAAAATTGTAAGTGTGTGGCATAAGTCTTGGCATATGGAAAGTGCTCAATGTTAGTTACTGATGATAATGATGATGATAAAAAGGAAGAAATAATGATAAAAAAGAAATTGGCTGGGCACGGTGGCTCACACCTATAATCCCAGCACTTTGGGAGGCCGAGGTGGGTGGATCATGAGGTCAAAAGACCGAGACCATCCTGGCCAACATGGTGAAACCCTGTCTCTACTAAATATACAAAAATTAGCTGGGCGTGATGGCACACGCCTGTAGTTCCAGCTAGTAGGGAGGCTGAGGCAGAAGAATCACTTGAACTTGGGAGGCGGAGGTTGCAGTGAGCTGAGATTGCACCACTGCACTCCAGCCTGGTGACAGAGTATGACTCCATCTCAAAAAAAAGAAAAAGAAAAAAACAAAGAAATCTACTACTATTAATAATAATAATAATGTAGCCTGCTAGGGTATTCAGTGGTCCAGTTTGCCCAGGATTGGAGGGCTTCCCAGGATATGGGGCATCCAGTGCTATCACTAGAAAGAGCCAGGCAAACTGGAATGGTTGACAAGTCTGTCCCTGCCATGTGCCCAGCCTGACTGACATGGCATGGGTTGGGTCAGAACCTGCAGATGGCCTTAAGTGCCTTTAGCTGTGGGGATCAGAGGGGGGTGGAAGCAGGGAGCCAAGCACCACACGTTCTTGGATATAGAACTGAGTTTTTGTTGTATGAGGATCATGGTCTGGCTTTTCCCTTCAAGGCACTTGGTGAAAGGAATGTAGTGAATCGATAATCATTAACGAGCTGTCTGGTCTAATCATTTCCTCCCATTCGTTCCAGTTAATAAGAAAACAGAACAAGGAGGGAAGAGGAGGAGGGTGAGGAAGCAGGATCTGGCCGTGTCTGGGTTCACTGAGTTTCAGCTGAGCTCAAAGGTCCCATCCTTCACCCAGTTTTAACCTCCACCCTATGCCCCACTGCGTGAGTCTGGCACAAGGCAAGCACTCAATCTATATGCACAGTATCTGAGAAAGTTGATCAGTGGGATTGGGATCAGATCTGCTGCCTCCTTGGACGTGTCTTTGTGGAAAGGTGTAGGTGCCTGGCTAGGAATGACTGTGACGAAGCCATGGTTCAGTGGGCAGGCACTGCTGCCCTGTGCTAGGCAGCCCAAGGTCCAAGTCCTTCCCTATGTGTGATCTGAGGACAGGGCAGTTACACAACCTTGCACCTACTCCCGCTCATGCTGCTGCTGCTGAGTCTCAAAACAGCCAAAGCAAGGAGAAGCCGGAGAAGTCCTGGTGAAAGGCTGTGTGGTTGGTGAGCTGCCGGGGATCTCGCGGTTTTCTCAGGGATTTATGGGTGGATTTAGGAACATGATATCTAGAGGTTGCTTGTATATAGCCCAGTAGGGGAGAAAGAGCGCTGGATTCAAAGTCAGAACCTGGATGTTTATCTCAGCTCAGCCACTCCACAAATGCAGCTCAGCTAACACATACTGAACAAGCATCGGGACTGGCCACTGTGTGGGATACTTCCTCCAATTTTATCCTTTTATCCTCAACACAACCGATTATTATGCCCCATTTTATTGATAAGGAAACGGTCTCAGAGAGGTGGAAACTGAGGCTAAGAGAGGTAAGCCTGGTCAAGACAACATACTACATACGTGGTTTAGCGTGTTGGCTGAAGCTCAAAGAGGTAATGCTGGAATCTTGAAGACATGGGTCAGGACAGGTACTGGGAACATGTACTGAACTGATGATGGCTGATTCAAGGAACAAAGAATCTCAGGGCCAGAGGAAGAGCCTTCTTTGGACCAGGCAGCCAGCATGGCATGTAAAGCACGGCAGTTGATGTGTCTAGCTCCAGATGTTTATAAAAGACTTTAGTGCCCTGAGGTGATGCTCAGCTTGCCTGGGCCATGGAGTGGGGTATATTCTTGGAAACACTGCTAAGGGAAGCATGGGTGCAAACATGTCAAACAAGACTGGAATAATGGGTCTCTCTGCTCCTTGGTAGCTGAGCAGCCTAATGCAAGTCATTTAACCTCCCTGAACCTCAGTCGCTTCATCTAACCTGGCTCACCCACAGCTGGTGTGAAGATTAAAGGTAAAGTGTGTGGCCGAGTGCAGTGGCTTCACGCCTGTAATCCCAGCACTTTGGGAGGCCAAGGCAGGTGGATTGCCTGAGGTCAGGAGTTCGAGACCAGCCTAGCCAACATGGTGAAACCCCATCTCTACTAAAAATACAAAAATTAACCAGGCATGGTGGCATGCACCTGTAATCCCAGCTACTCAGGAGGCTGAGGCAGGAGAATTACTTGAACCTGGGAGGCAGAGGCTGCAGTGAGTGCCAAGATCGCACCATTGTACTCCAGCCAGGGTGACAGAACGAGACTCCATCTAAAAAAAAAAAAAAGTAACATGTGTGACACGCTTTGCACTGCATGGGACACAGTGTAGTACTCCGTGCAGGGGAACATCATTCAAGCACATTTGCTAAGCTGCCAGGTAAAGCCAAATGAAAGCTATCTGACTCCCCCATTAGTGGCATTTAACCATGCCAGACTAATTTGCCTAACTAGAAATCTGACTCGAAATCTCCATGCCCCACTCCCTCATCTTCCAGGCATTCGGAAAGGCAGGCTTGGATCTCCTTGGCACATTTACTACCAGGGACATCGGGGTACCCCAGAGCTATCAGGACAATGAGAAGGGCCTCCAGAGAGAGGGAGGGGCTCGTGCTAAAGCATGACCTTCAGGGCCTCCAAAAGATGCTCCCAAGAATGGCTGCAGAAGAGTTCAACTCCAAGTCGATGACAACAAGGGAAGGTTAATCACAGGGAGGCACAGGGCCACAGGGCAGGAGGCACATGGAGTAGGCAGGGAAGTCAGCTTCTGCTGCAACCTGGCCTGGGCACTGATGTGCTCCATGCCACGGCACCTGGGAAAACTCAGTCCCAGACTGACTTCCACCACCTCTATCACCCAGTCCCCTTCTCCTCCGGTATCTCCCTCCACCCTCAGGGGCTCATGAGAAGTCTCTTCATTTCCTTTTGCTGCACTGCGGGGACCCCTCAGCTCCTCTGTGCTTTCTTGAACTGATGATCAGTTATTTTCCACATGTGACACGTGCTCTGCCACTATCACCTCCTGTATTAGTCCATTTTCATACTGCTATGAAGAAATACCAGACACTGGTAATTTATAAAGAGAAAGGTTTGCTGGACTCACAGTTCCACATGGCTGGGGAGGCCTCACAATCATGCAGAAGGCAAAGGAGGAGCAAGGACAGGACTTACATGGCGACAGGCAAGGGAGCGTTTGCAGGGGAACTAACTGCCCCTTATCATACCATCAGATCTCATGAGACTTACTCGCTATCACAAGAACAGCACCGGAAAACCTGACCCCAAGATTCAATTACCTCCCACCAGGTCCCTCCTATGACATGTGGGGATTATGGGAGCTACAATTTAAGATGAGATTTGGGTGGGGACAAAGCCAAGCCATATCATTTCCCCACCCTGGCCATTAGGCCTTCACTACATCCTAGGACCTCTGGACTTGGGCCACACACTACTCTGGACTAAACCTTGGTCTTCAGGCACATAGAGTTGCTAGCACTCAACTTGCGGCTACCCTCTAAGAAGTCACTGCCTTTAATTACACAAGTCAGCACAGGCCCCCAGCCTTGGGACTGCCCTACTGAGCAGGTCCCTGCAGTGCCTGGTCTCAGCCATGCTCCTCATCACCAGGCTGTATAGCTTATAGCTCCCTGGGCCCCTAACCTTTTCCTTTCCCTCCCGTGCCAGGCATTTTTACTGCAGAAGAATGTGACCTTGAGCAAGTAACTTCATCCCTCTGGATCTCGGTTTTCACAAACATAAAGATAGAAGTCATATGAATGATGTTAGCAGTTTTTCAGCCTTTCAGTGTGAAAAAAAAAAACCATAAAAGGGTATACTTTTACATACATTAACTAAGAAAACGCATGAAGATGAAGAGGCCCTGTGAACTTAGTAATATCTTCAAATAAATCTATATTTTATTTATTACAACCCCATCATTTGAAAAGTAGAACACATATGAGTGAGATTTATTATTTAGTCCTCCCGTACCTAAGGAATGGTTGGTGCACTACGGACTCTTGGACCCAGGGTAATAATTCCACCACTCCCTCATGGGTTCACAGCCTGCAGATTGGCGAACAGCAGACTAGACAACCTCCAAGGGTCTTTCAAGGTCATAAATTCTACAAAGACTTACCAAGCACCTGCTAGGATGGATACATTCTAATTAGGGAGACAGATAAACTCCAAGAGAACAAATTTTAAAGCAAGCACTTAATTATGGTAACTGGTAAAAACCCAAGACCAAACTAAAAAATGAGGCAGCATGGGGGAATGTGGCCTTTTAGATAGAATGGTAGAAGGCTTCTCTGGGATAGTAACATTTGACCATGTGACCCAGAAGATGATAAGGCACCAGCCATAAGAAAGGGATGGGTGGGGAGAAGAAGGCAAAGAGCATTCCAGGCAGAAGACACAACTTGACAAAGGCTCTCAGAAGGATGCCAGTGTGGGCTGTTGAATGACCTTTGTGGCTGAGGATGAAGACATAGGGGGCAAATTATAGAGGGGAAAAACAGCAATTCTGTCTGGAAGTATTAAGTTTAGGAGTATGCATGACATCCAAGTGGAAATGTTGACACAGCTGAATATAAGAGGAGGCTAAAATTCAGAGATAACTGTGAGAGAAATGCACATTTAGGAGTCAACAGAGAGAAGATATTCCAAATTCTGAAAAGTTAGGGGATCTACTGAGGGGAGGGCAGGGGACAGGAGGAGACAGGAAAGGAGAGGAGAAGAGAGGAGAGGAGAGGAGAAGAGAGGAGAGGAGAGGCGAGGAGAGGAAGACCTCTAGACCAAGTCCTTAGAAACAACACCACTGACTTGGGGAGAGAAGGAAAGAGGCTGGGAGAAGCCAGAGAAGAAAGAGGAAAACCAGGACCTGGTGAAGTAATCAAATCCAAAAGAGAAAGGAATTCAAGAAGGAGGGAGCAGCCAACCGTGTGGAATGCTATTGAGAGACAGAGAGGGTAAGATTCAGATGAAAGCACATCCATTGGATTTGGCAATACAGATGATGCTATAGACTGAAGGTTTGTGTCCCCTCCAAATCCGTATTTTGAAACCTAAACCCCAATGTGATGGCATTTGAAGGTACAGCCTCTGGGAGGTGATAAGGTCATTATGATGTACCCCTTATGGATGGATTAGTGCCTGTATAAAAAGAGACTCCAGAGAGCTCCCTCGCCCCTTTTCTGCAATGTGAGGACACAGCACAATGATAGCGGTCTATGAACCAGAGAGTGGACCTTTGACCAGATACAGAATCCACTGGCGCTTTGATCTAGGACTTCCCAGCCTCTAGAACTGTGAGAAATACATTTCTGTTGTTGATAATCCACCCAGTCTATGGTATTCTGTTATAGCAGCCCAAACAAACTCAGAGAAAAAAGAGGGGCACAGGTATAGCGATTGCGGCAGAGGCCACTGGAGTGGGATGAAGAGAGATTGAAGGGTAAGGAACATGATGGGGACATGATGTGTTGGCAACCGCTTCTAGAAGTCTGGCTATCAAGAGAAACAGAAAAAATGGGACACAAGATGGAAGAACAGGGTAGATTATTATTCAGCAAGTACTCTGTCTCCCTCAGTCTCCATGGGAGGAGTGTATGTCCCATCTCACTGATGTTAAGTTTGGCCAATGGGATGTGCAGATATGCCCTGAGTAGGACTTTGAAATGTGCTTGCCTGATTGGGCTTGGCGTCTCGTGGTCCTTCCTTTCTTTGTGAGAACATGTCTTGGGTAGCCTCTGGATGAAGGAGAATGAGCGATGTGTGGCACAGGCTTGGGACACAACCCACAACTTGGAGCCCAGCTTAGATCTGTGGAACTCTAACGAACCCACAAACCTGTAAGCAAAAACATATGCTAGTTGTATGCCACTAAGATGCTGTGGTTATTGGTTGTGCAGAATTATTGTGGATAAAGGTGACTAATACAAGGGAAAATATGCAGTCGGGTGGGGTTATGTTTAGGATGGGTGATGCTAGATTATGTGTATATACTAATGGGAATGATGTACTGAGATGAAAGAGGATTTGGCTGCCTGAAAGGGATGAGACAGCTTTGGCAGGGCGATGCCCATGAGAATAACAAGAGGGGATAAGATCCTGAAGATTAGCGGAGGGGCTGGCTTTAGATAAGAGGAGGGCTGCATCCTCCATTCTAGCAAGAGGGGAAACAGCAGATGCAGATACAAGAAGGTTTAAAGGTTTGGTCAGGAAAGATGAGCAGCTTAGATGGGATGACTAATTTCTCAATGAATGATGAAGCACGACCATCAGTGGAGAATGTCTTTAGCCTGGGGAGGAGGTGTCTTGTTGCCTGCTGTTTGCCTTTCCTTAAATGTCTTTCTAATTTTCTCTGTAGATCTAAACTCTAAGCCCCTCCTTCTCCTTGAAATCCTAGCCTACCATGACCCTTCTCCTTCCTATAGCATTTGCAATCTCAACTCGAGTGGGACATCTGATTAGCTCGTCTCATTGTTTGAAGTAGGATTTAGGCATGCTTTCCCTTCTGCTGAACTTGAGCTTGATGAGACATTCGGATCACGTTTGCTTCTTTTGAGTCCCCCACAGTACCAATGACATAGTGATGGTCATGCTGAGGAGGCTTAATAATTACTTGTTAACTGGCTCAAGAAGAAAAAGTATGTGATTGTTACTGTTTCCTCTTATAGACTAGCTGACTTGGGCCACAGAAAATCAGGGAAGACCAGCTGCTAAGGGGTTAGCCAGCAGAACTATTGTTTCTGGAGACGGACACGTTTTCTGGTTTGGATTTATTTTTTTTTCTCACTTCTTATGCCAACTTCCCTGAAGCTTGGTCCGTTTTCTTCACTGCTTCAAGAATTCTTTCATCAATCCTGCCGTGGACATACTGACATCTTTCCTGAGAAAGCAGAGGGTTATTTTCTAGATGTTCTTTAATGCCATTGCTTAGAGGGCTTTCTGTTTTATTTTTAATGAAACAAAAAGCACCAGATCTGACAGGTAATGCTAGGGAGCCCATATTTCGTGCAAGGGATCCCAGAAATACCAAGCAGCTGGCGTGCTAGTTCCAAAGCTACCATGCAGACCTTGTTTATACCTGAAAGACAGCAGAGGGAGCTTGTTCTCAAAGGCCTCCCCAGCCTCAGTCAAACTGGCTGAATGGACCTTAGAGTCTCAGTCTGACAGTTTCACAAGGTTCTGTGTGCCACCTTCAACACTCATCCAAGTTACATGCAGAGGAAACAGAGCTGATCCAGAGAACTCCATTGCCTGGCAACTGGGACACCATGGACTAACTTGTAAGGCAAGGGTGGGTGTCCACTCCTCCATCCCCTCAAGGGCTCCGATCCACCCTCCCAAGTTCCCATCATTTCCAGACACCAAAAGTATCAGGCCAACCCACCCCTCCTCCACTGATGGAGCAAAGTGTCCCTCAAGAAGGCCCCCAGTTCACAGCCAGGCTGGGTGAGGGCCCCCTCTTCTGAGATCCCCAGACCACCCTACTCTCACCTTCTAGCCAAGCTCTGACGATAACACTAGGTACTTCCCCCACTGCACTCAGAGCTCCCTGGGACTGGAGCTGCATCTGATTCACCTGTATTTCCTTCTCTAGCCAGGCACACGTGGATGGCCAATGAATGGCTTCTTAGACGTTAACAGCACAGGTAGGCAGCGCATCTGACGCACCTGGAGAAAGCTCCAGCTCTGCTTGCACTGCCTAAGGCAGTCCCTTCATCTTTTTTTTTTTTTTTTTTTTTTTTTTTGACAGAGTTTCACTCTTGTTGCCCAGGCTGGAGTGCAATGATGTGGTCTCGACTCACTATAGCCTCCGCCTTCTGGGTTCAAGTCATTCTCCTGCCTCAGCCTTCCAAGGAGCTGGGATTACAGGCTCATACCTGGCTAATTTTTGTATTTTTAGTAGAGACGGGGTTTCGCCATGTTGGCCAGGCTGGTCTCGAACTCCTGACCTCAGGTGATCCACCCGCTTCGGCCTCCCAAAGTGCTGGGATTACAGGCATGAGCCACCACATCCCTAAAGATGAAGGGAAGGCAGTCCCTTCATCTTTAAGGGACTTTTTCCTCATCTGTGAAGAGAACATTAAAAATATCTACTTCACTGGCACTGTGAGAAGTAAGTAATGCACATTTTATAAACTGGCGAGTGTTTTACAAAGTGAGTACTAATTCACACTTAAGTTTTAGAGGCTGTATTACCTCCCTCAAAAATATTTTCACTTTTAAACCGACCCTCTGATGTGTCCTTTTCCTCTTTTATGAAGGACAATGCCTTCCTCCTTCAGCAGTGAAGGTATTTCAGGCATGAGTGAAAGAAACTGGGTTTGCTTTGACTGGGGGAGGTAATCAGGACCCTAAACGACAGAATATGGACCAGAAATCAGTAAACTATGGCCTGAGGCCCAAATCCTACCCACCCCCCATTTCTGCAGGACAGGGGAGCTAGAAGGGCTTTTGCATTTTTAAATGGTTGAAAAAAAGTCAAAAGGAGAATATTTTGTGATACATAAAAATTATATGAAATTCAATTTACAGTATCTATAAATAAAGTTTTATTGGAACACACCATGCTCATTTGTTTACATATCATCTGTGGATGCTTTTGTGCCACACCAGGAGAGCTGAGTGGTTGTGACAGAGACCATAAGGCCTGTAAAGCTACAAATATTTACTAATTAGTTTTTTAACAGAAAAGTTTGCCAACTCCTGATAGAGATCATCTCTGTACTTGCCCCAAGGCCACTCCTGTGAAAGGATCTAGAATGAGTCAAGATTTTATTCTGGGAATTCTATTTTAGTCCATCCAGGCTGCTATAACAAAATACTATAAACTAGGTGGCTTACAAATAACAAATTTATTTATCACAGTTCTGGAACCTGAAAAGTCCTAGATCAAAGCACCAGCAGATTCAGTGTGTGGTGAGGGTTTGCTCTCTGATTCACAGACAGCCATCTTCTCGCTGTTGCCTAACAGGGTGGAAGGGATAAGGGAGCCCTCTGGGGTCTTGTGATGGTTAATACTTAGTGTCAGTCAACCTGATTGGATTGAAGGATCCAAAGTATTGTTCCTGGGTGTGTCTGTGAGGGTGTTGCCAAGGAGATGAACATTTGAGTCAATGCACTGGGTGAGGCAGACCCACCCTCAATGTGGGTGGGCACCATCCAATCAGCTGCCAGTGCGGCTAGAATAAACCAGGCAGAAGAAGGTGGAAGGAGCCAACTTCATGAGTCTTCCACCCTTCATCTTTCTGCCGTGCTGGATGCTTCCTGCCCTCAAACATCAGACTCTAAGTTCTTCAGCTTTTGAACTCTTGGACTTACACCAGTGGTTCGCCTGGAGCTCTCAGGACTTTGGCCATAGACTGAAGCTTGCACCGTTGGCTTCCCTACTTTTGAGGTTTTGAGACTTAGACTGGCTTCTTTGCTCCTCAGCTTGCAGACAGTCTATTGTGGGACCTCACCTTGTGATCATGTGAGCCAATTTTCCTTAATAAACTCCCCTTCATATATATATATATATATATCTCCTATTAGTTCTGTCCCTTTAGAGAACCCTGACTAATACAGATCTCTTTTATAAAGGCACTAATCTATTCATGAGGGTCCCACCCTCATGACTCATCACCTACCAGAGGCCTTACCTCCTAAATCATCACAGTTGGGGTTAAGTTCATTATAATAATTTTGTGGAGACACAAATATTCAATCTACAGCAGAGGGATATAGACAAAACAGATCATATTCTGAAGAACAACCAGGAACATGCTGAGACTCAGACATGTGTCACGGGAAGAATGGTCAATAATTTCAGGGTGTCTTCAATTATCCAAACACCTGTCATGAAGAAAGGAGATAAGGCTCCCTCTCCATGGCTTCAAAAAGTCAACCTGGGACTGGAGACCCATTTCAGTCAATATAAAAAATCATCTTCAGCTGTCTGAGCTGTTTCAGGGGATGAGTTCCCTGTCATTACATGTATTCACAGAAAAACAAATGTACAGTGTAGTGAATATACAATGTAGTGATCAATGCAAGATGACCATTGGGTCACTAACATGGGTACCCTTTCATTAGGTTGGTGCAAAAGTAATTGTGGTTTGGGCCATTACTTTTAATGGCAAAAATTGCAATTACTTTTGCATCAACCTAATAGATTGCCCATTTTGCAAAGACCTCCTTAACTACACCATGAAAATCCACAAGGGTAGGCTCCTGGATGCTATGTTTGTACAATATGATTCTAACACAGTTTACTGAACCAGAAGTGGCTCCTGTCTGAGGTTCGTTCCATCAGGGTCCTTTACCTAAGAACTTGAGAGCAGATCAGGGTGAGAATGAGAGAGAGGACAGGGTGCTATGTGTACGGCTGAAAGTGTAATATCTCTGCCCACCATGTGGGATCAGGAGCAGGGAAAGCTGGCTTACTAGGAAAGAAGCATAAAGCAGATTTATGGAGAGAAGGAGAGAGATGGGATGGAGAAAGAGTTAGTCCTGGGCTCCCAACAGCCTTGCAGTCCCTGGCTCCAAACTCTTCATGAGGTCTGGTTTCCATGATCAAACTTCTGGGTTACTACAGATTAGTCTCATTTTGCAGAAGCTAGCTTGAGATGGATTCTCTTACAGCTTAAAGAACTTGAAGTAATGTCATTATGGTGGAACAAGACTCAGATCTTGACAACCTGGCCAGTGTCCTCAGTCTCTTCCAGCCTTGGGAATCTAAGGTTCTATTAGCCATCTAGAGGAGAGGCCATGTCCCCTTGAGAGGCAGTGTCTGGGGAGCCTGGGACTAAACATCCACAGCACAGACCACAGGCATGGCATGTCAACTTGCACACATCGCACTTGCTTCTCTCCTCTTTAGGAAGATAACTTGAATCTATCACGCCACTCTGTTGTGAAAAATAATGAATAGCACCGTTAACAAATGACAAGTGCTACATTTCTTATTATTATCTATCATGTATACATCACTTTATTTCTGTAGCATCCAGCAGGTGTTGAATGCAAATGGACTGAAAGCACTTTTGCAGACTTGCAATCTCCTATTAAGAAAAACATTTGTGAGCATGGAACAGTGGAGCCGTCAGGCTCTTCCAAGTCCTACACTGAAGTACCCCAAGCAGGACCTGAGAGGTCCTTCTCAATCATGCTGATTCACTGGAAAGCCATTAAATCCAAGTGATTCACATTTACTTTAGTGCAATAAGATCTACCCTAGCTCCAAGCTTTGACCCTGTCAGGCCTCTGACCCCAAGCTAAGCCATCACATGCCCTGCGACCTGCACGTATACATCCAGATGGCCTGAAGCAACTGAAGATCCACAAAAGAAGTGAAAATAGCCTTAACTGATGACATTCCACCATTGTGATTTGTTTCTGCCCCACCCTAACAGATCAATGTACTTTGTAATCTCCCCAACCCTTAAGAAGGTTCTTTGTAATCTCCCCCATCCTTAAGAAGGTTCTTTGTAATTCTCCCCACCCTTGAGAATGTACTTTGTGAGATCCATCCCCTGCCCACAAAACATTGTTCCTAACTCCACTGCCTATCCCAAAACCTATAAGAACTAATGATAATCCCACCCTTTGCTGACTCTCTTTTTGGACTTAGTCCACCAGCACCCAGGTGATTAAAAAGCTTTATTGCTCACGCAAAGCCTGTTTGGTGGTCTCTTCACTTGGACATGCATGACAGACCCGATGCCATTTGGAGGCCATAACTGTTTGTGTGATCAGAGAACCACAGGAAACAGACATGGGCAATATGTGGCCAGAGGCTCTTGATCACTCTTTTTGCTCCAGCAATAGGATAGCCTTGGGCCTCCTTTGATCCAGTTTATTCCACATGCCAGACTTCACCACTAGCCAAGTGTTGCTCAGCTTCTTCTCTCCTCTCCCCATTTTGCACATAGAGAATGGAAATACACTATTAAGTAATTTCCCAAAGAACATGAGGCTGGTCTTGAGATTGGAAGGCATAGGCTGTTTCTGGCCCATACAGACACTCACTGTAAGGTGAATACCAGATGAGGGGCAGGGAATAGAGTAGGAGAAACTGAGCTCTGGACCCATTGCTGCCCCAATGATATTGGGATCCAGGCAAGTCATCTCCCTTCCCTGGCCACAGTAACTCCTCTATCCAATGAACAGATTGGACCAGGAGCCAGGTCACAGCCACAAGATAGGAATATCAAGATCAAAATCAGGAAGAGGCTAGGAGTTGACACCCAAGAATAACCACAAAAATGTCAAGTCTGGAGTGAAGTCAATGAACATATTCTAGCTGAGCACTAAGAGTACCAGTGATGAGCTGAGTTAAAGAGGTACCAGAAGCAGAGTCAAGTCATGGAAACAACAGTGGGAGTGGAAAAAGTAAAACAGGGGGCAACAACCCAGAGAAGACAACACAGAGGTGAATTAATCTTGATAGAGATTTGTTGTTGGATATCTTAATGTCACTAACACAAAGACAACATGGGGTGACCAGCAGGATCCCACCCAGCCCTCATAGTCTACAAATTTCAACCTTGCTCCAGTTGTGCTACCAAATGTGCATCAGCCCTGACAAAGGAGCAATTGCAAGCTAAGTATCTGACATAGCGTGGGTTCTGTATTAAGCCACTTTTTTCCCACTCAGTAATAACTGGACACACAAGAAATCATCCCCCAAAGGGTCATATGCCAGTCTCCATCTCCATTTAATAAGAGCAATCCCTGTCTTGACTTTCTACTTTTTACTTGCCCCTAAGATGTTCTTGGGTCCTAAAAAAAAGTCACTTCCTACTCATCAGGACACTAGATCACTGAAAAAGAAATTTTGAAGCTTTTGACCCTCCATGAGGGTAGTGCAGGCTGGCTACAGAGAGAAGAAAATTTATTTCCAAGGCCAGCTATTTGATGTCCTAATCTTTCCCAGGCTATTCCCATAGAATGGTTATTGAATATATTATATTCAACAAATCAACTACTTTCCCTATAAAAAGTTCTCGTAGTAGCTGTAAGACATATGACAAGAAAAGTCTCTCTGTGTGCCTAGTTTTCTCATTTGTAAAATCTGAGAAATGGTACCTATATTAGTTTTCCATCACTACTATAGCAAATCACCTCAAACTTGGTAGCTTAAAGCAAGACATATTTATTATCCTGCCTAGATTAGGCCCATATCCAATATGGGCCTCCCTGAGCTAAAATCAAGGTGTCAGCAAGGGTGCGTTCCTTCTAGAGGCTCTTAGGAGAGATTCTGTTTCCTTCTCTTTTCCACCTTCTAGGTTCACCCATATTCCTTGGCTCATGGCCTCTTTTCTTCATCTCCATCTTCAAAGCCAGCAACAATGGATCGAGTCACTCTAACATGGAATCACTCTGACTTCCTCTTCTGCCTCCTCCTTCCACTTTTAAGGACTCTTGTGATTACATCAGACTCACCTGGGTAGTCCAAGATACTCTCCTTATTTTAAGATCAGCTAACTAGCAACTTAATTTCACCTGCAACCTTAACTTCCTCTTGTCATGTAACCTACCATATTCAGTTTCTGAGAATTAGGATGTGCACAACTTTGGGGGCACATTATTCTGCCTATTACAGTATATGTCTTCTCACAGTGGCTAGGAAAAATTTTCCCCTACTAGCTAAGCATATGGCCCTGGCTAAGTCTCTTGTCACTTCAGTTTCCTCCTATGAAGTTGAGGGCTTTAATCTAAGACAGTCTTTAAGATGTATAAGTTTATGAGGATAAAACAGAGTCATTAAAAGATGAGCCTCTGTCTTGTGCATTACAGTCTTCAAAGCACTTGTCCATGCCTTGTCTCATTTGATCCCTGCACCAATCCTGAGAAATATATAGGGAAGATGCTACCATTATCTTTGCTTTGTAGAAGTGTAACCTGACAATAAGAAGGTAAATCATGTGTCCACGACCACACAATTAAAACATCACAGTCCTGGTTTAATATTGGAGTCTTCTGATAATACATGCCCTAAATGAAAACCTTTTCTGAATACCTTGGAAATGTATATATGAGGAAGATGGTAACCACCAACACACTACCACCAGCACCACCACCACCATCCAACCACATCACAACTCATCTAAGTGAAGAGGCACAGCAATGGCAGATGATCCCTGAAGATAACTCAGGAATCCAGGTCCCCACTTTACTTTGGATTCCCATCCTCTAATCGCGTCCCATTAAAAGTGCCTTCCTACAACCATATTCTTCCTTCCTTGCTTTGAGACCACACATGATTAGCATAGTGCTGGTTCTAAATCAAAGAAAAACAGTCATGAGCCTCTAGCTGGGGAAGAGGGAGAGGGTCTCTGTATAGTAGCCAGTGGTCTCAAGGCAATCCTGCTTATGTGAGATAGGATAACTAGATACAGTGATGGAATCTTCTTCCCATCCTCCTGAGTTCAGTTCAGTATAAAGGAAAATACAAAAATGGTGAAGACATTTTCTAGGAAACAAGGAAGGAGAAAAGAGCTAAAGGAGATTACTTGAAAGTCTTTGAGGCACAGTGGACATTTGTTATCTTTTGGTTCCTAGCATCCATTGCTACATTTCATTGCCTTTTGGGGAATAATCCCTCTCCCCACTCTCAGACCATGTGCTTGCTCCATCCTGCACTCTCCACTCCAAGGGCAGAGAATTAACTCTTTCCACAAGTATTTATTGAGCACCTAAGATGTGCTCTAGGCATGTGAGATATGAAGGCAAGGCAGACAAGGCCCCTGCAGTCATCGAGCACCCAAATAAACAAACAAGCAAAAAAAAAAAAAATTGAATGAAATACTTTTGAGAGTGTTATGGCCTATAAGAAAATAAAATAGGGTTTTTGTTACAGAGAAGGACCAGGGTATTATTATCTGGACTTTTCAGTTATGTTCACTAATTCTTATTTCGTTTAAGCCTATTTGGGTCACACTTCCTGTTGTTCACACCCAGCAGGCTTCCTGTATTGGATTCCTAACACAGGTGGCCCTCACTCCCCTGATGCTGAAGATCCCTGTCCTGTTTGTAGAGCAAGACTGTACTGACTGGCCAAGACTTTTGTGTCATGGGAAATGAACAGATGGGAAAGAACCCAGAACTGGCACTCAGAACCTCAGCTTCTAGTTCAAGCTCAGCACTAACTAGCTGAGTACCTTCTACCCAGGCTGGAGTATTTACTAACTGCTGAAATGGGGATGTTTGCCTAGTTAATTTCCATGATCTGTTCCACCTCCACCATTTTGTGCCCTATGCTCTACTTGATCAGAACTTCTCAAATTTACATTATAATTGGGAACTGAGTAATCTCAAGCTGGCCTCAATCACATTCTACGTCTCTATTAAAAAGCTGCAAAACAAGCATTTAACACTTGATCCAGATCCATACATATTATCAGGGGAGATCCAAACTGCATACTCAGCAAATGTACTGCATTCTGCAAACAAACACTCCAGTGCCTAATAAAGGTTAGTGATTCAAGATAATGCTGATTTTACCTGCAAAACTCACTGTGGGCTCTAAGGAGTTCTGCCTCTATCCTTCATGGCTTATTAGCGGGGGAAAGCCTTTGGGCAATTTCACTGGGTTGGCATAGAAGCATTTATATACTTTTCTGTATGTGGAGGACAAGAGGATGTGCATCATCTTCTGACATGAATACCTCAGTGACTATGTCAGAATCCTATTAATATAATAATCCCTTTAAAAAATACATTTATGTGGTTCAAAATTAAAAAGGCATGCAATGAAACATTTCCCTTCTACCCTTGCCCATCCCCAGTTCATGTCACAACCCTTAAGGGAAACCATTGTTAGTCTGTTGTATTATCTTTCCAGAATTTCTTATACAAATAGATGTAAGTATAAATGCGGTTGACCCTTGAGCAGTGTGGGGGTTAGGGGAATCAATCTCCTGCTCAGTTGAAAATCTGCACATAACTTTTGACAAAACTTAACTACCGATAGCCTATTGTTCACCAGAAGACTTACCAATAACATAAACAGCCCATTAGCACATATTTTGTAATCATGTGTATGTGTTATATGTATTATATACTGTAGTCTTACAACTAGTAAGCTAGAGAAGAGAAAATGCTACTAAGAAAATCACAAGGAAGATAAAATATATTTACTATTCAGTAAGCGGAAGAGGATCATCATCAAGATCTTCATCCTCATCGTCACATACAGTAGGCTGAGGAGGAGGAGGAAGAGGAGGGGTTGGTCTTGCTGTGTCAGGGGTGGCAGAGGCACAAGAAAATCTGTATATAAGTGAATCTGCATAGTTCAAACCCATGTTGTTCTGAATTTATTCTAATTCTACAATGCCTCCACTTTTTATATATAAGTTAGTATAGAATACACACTATTGTGCAGCTTGCCCTTTTTTCTTCATTTTGCAATCTGATAGATAAAATATGCTATTCCTATATAGCTTTGAGTTTTGATGAGGTAATGTTAAGTACATCTTTTAACAAATTTAGGTCTATTCATATTTCTTTTTCTGTGCATTGCCCGTTTATATCCTTTGCCTATTATTTTCTATTGGATTGAAATTCATTTTTATTGACCCTTTGGAACTCTTTATTTAAGTTGATTAGGCCTTTGTCATGTGTCTTTTCAGTTTACTTATGTAGATTCTTTTTGCTACTTAGAAGATTTTTTTCCTTCAATTTTTATTTACTCAGTTATATCAGATTTTTATTTTATGGTTTCAAGATTTAAGTCTTGGTTAGAAAGGCACCCTGTGTGTTTCCTTCTGGTACTTTCATAGTCTTGCTTTTACCTTTACATTTCGTTTTCATTTGGAATCTTATCTTGGTGTATACATGGTGTGAGGTATGGATACAATTTTATTTTCACCCACAGGGCTACCAGATATCCCAGTGGAACATATTTAATCTTTTCCTTCAATGATTTAAGATGCTACCTTTGTCAAATACTAAATGATCATATGCATTTGGATCTATTTCTGGACTAACCACTTGGTTCCTTTTAACTATGTGTGCATGTCTCTGTAGCACACAGTTTCAATAAATGACACACTATAATAAATTCAATATCTAGTAGCGCCAGTCACCTCATATGGGTTTTTTCAGAATTTTTCTATTTTTATTTACCTTTTTATTTGAACTTTAAAACAAACTTAACTAGTTTTAGAAAATTATCTATTGATACTTTTATTTAGATTGTGTTTGATTTATAAATTAACTTAAATAGAATGATGTCTATTGTTTTTCCATCCATGAGCAATCTTTCCATTTGCTTCAGGATCCTTTTATATACTTTAGTAGTGTTTTTAAATCTTCATATAGACCCTGGATATTTTTTGTTTAAATTTATTATTAGTTCTTTTACATTTCTTGTTGTTATTGTAAGTGATGGCTCTTCCTCTAAAAATATACGGTAAGTCCTCACTTAACATCATTGATAGGTGGTTGGAAACTGTGACTTTAAGCACAATGATGTACAATAAGTCCTTGAATACCATTTCCTTCAACATCTTTTTGTTATAACTTTGATGAGAAAAAAACCAGTTTTGTTACATGTCATTTTGCTTAAAGTTGCAGTTTCCAAGAACCTATCCTCAATGTTGAGGACTTACTGTATTCTGTTTGGTGTTTGTATATGTGAAAAGTATTAATTTATGTTTACTAATTATTGCACATTGTTAGTTTATGGAATTCTTTTATTGTTTGAAACAGTTTTTCAGTTAATTATCTTTTGTTTTCTAGCCATGCAATCACAGCATCTTCATACAGCAACAACTGCCTCTTCCCTCTCTTTTTTACTGTTTTTGCTTGTCTAATTGCATTGGTAAGTATCACCTGTGCAATGAGGAGTAACAGTACTAATAGCATAGATCCTTGTTCTTTAGTGATAATTCCTTTAGTGTTTCCTCAATAAGCATAATGCTGGCTTATAGCCTGAGATGGATGTGTTTTAGCCTGTTAAAAAAAAAAAAATACCTGAACTATACAGATGCTCCTAGACTTATGGTAGAGTTACGTCCTGATAAACCCATAAGTTGAAAATATCATAAGCCAAAAATGCATTTAATCCACCTCACCTACTGAACATCATAACTTAGCCAAGACTACCTTAAGTGAGCTCAGGACACTTACATTAGCGTATGATTAGGCAAAATCATCTAACACAAACCCTATTTTATAATGGAGTGTTAAATATCTCCGATAATTTATTCACTACTGTACTGAAAGTGAAAAACAGAGTGGTTGCATGGGTACTCAAAGTATGGTTTCTATTGAAGGCATATTCTTTTTTTACCATAATAAAATCAAAAGATTGTATCAAAGCATCATGAGTCAGGGACCACCAGAATAACCTTAGCCAGTCAAGCTTTCTTGAGTGTATTTTTTAATTTTAAAATGATCATTGAAGTTTCTCAAAGCTCTTTTCAGTATCTATGAAGATAATATCTTTTTTCTCTTAATGTTCACTAATATAAAACCATATATGCATTCCAAGAATAAAACCCTCTTGATTATGATGGATTAGTCTTCAAATATACTGCTGAAATTATTTTGCTACTTTTTAAATGATCTTTGAATTGATATTCATAAGTGGGATTAGTCTTTGGATTTCCATGTGTGCCTACTTTGTCAGGTTTTGGTAAAAGTTATGCTTGTTTCTCTTCTTTTTCTATGCTCTAGAACAGAGTTCTATGCTCTGGACTAGTGCATTTTTCTTTGAAGAATGTATACCTATTTAAATTTTTTAAAAAAATTTCTGCCTTAGAAATTTTGGATTCCTTTCTGGGCCCATTTGGGTAATTTTTATTTTCTTGAAAAAAATCCACTTTTCAAACCTATTTGCATAGAGCTGAACAAAGTAGTCTCCTGATTCCTTTAGTTTCCTGTTTATGCCACTGTTCTCCACATATCATTCCTTATTGTATGCATCTGCACTTGCTCCCACATTTTCTTGATTAGATTAACTAGTAGTTTATTTTATTGTTGTTTTTTTCCCCATGATATGGTTTGGCTGTGTTCCCACCCAAATTTCATCTTGAATTTTAGTTCCCATAATCCCCACACATTGTGGGAGGGACCAAGTGGAGATAATTGAGTCATAGTGGTGGTTTCCCCCATGCTGCTGTTCTTGTGACAGTGAATTAGTTCTCATGAGAGCCGATGGTTTTATAAGGGGCTTCCCCATTCGCTGGGCACTCATACTTCTCCTTGCTGCTTCATGTGAAGAAGGACATGTTTGCTTCCCCTTCCCCCAAGATTGTAAGTTTCCTGAGGCCTTCCCAGCCATGCTGAACTGTGAGTCAATTAAACCTCTTTCCTTTATAAATTAGTCTTGAGTATGTCTTTACTAGCAGCATGAAAATGGACTAATACACCCCCAAACCAGCTTTGAAATTTATTTTAACTGCTTTGTTTTCTAACTCATTAATCTCTTTTATTTATTTTTTTCTGCTTTCCTTCTGCAATATTTCATTTTATTCTGATATAGCTTCTTGACTTAGATGATTAATTCATGTTTGATCATTCTTTTGTGTATATATTTAAGCCATCAGTTTTCCTCTGAGTACTGCTTTAGCTATATAACATTTGTTCTGCTATTGAGTGATTTCATTAATTGTTTTCCAGAAAATCTGCAATTTCAGTTTTTCTTTTCCTCTTTCAGCCATGCATTGAGTATTTTTTGTTTTGTTTGGATTTTACTTTCAGTTAAATGGGCTTTTGGTTTTATGATTTAGTATTAATTTCCAGTTTAATTGCACTGTAATCAGAGAATATTGTATTTTTTCTACCTTTTGGGATTTATTGAGGTTATCTATGTTCCCTAATAGATGGTCAATATTTGTGAATGTTTCATAGACCCTTGAAAGATATATTTTCTTCATTTAATCTACAGGGTTTGCTATTTATCAACCAGATCTACTTTATTACCTATGTTAATTAGAGCTTCCATATTGATTTTTATTCTTTGTCTAGGTATCTGGAGACTGAGACATGTAAATTAAAGTGATCCGTTACCAGCGTGTTTTCGTCTATTTTCTCCTTGCATCTCCTAAAATTTCTGTGTTTTCAATACTGCTGTTTTTTTCATTGTGATATGTACCTTTTATACATAGTTCCTTTATCTTATTTAATGCATTTTAATCTGAATTCCACTTTGTCTAATGCAAGTTCATAACTACTACTTTTTATATCTCTATTTTAAATTAACATTTTAAAGCATTCGGCTGGTGTTCCTTCACTCATCCTTTTATTTTCAACCTTCCTGTATCACTTTCCTTTAGGGGCATCTCTATAAACAACTTAGAATTGGGTTGTGGTGTGCGATCCTTTCTGAAACTCTTCTTAAAAAGTAAGTTAAATTCATTTATATTTAGATATGACAAATAGGCTTATTCCTAGATCTCATTTTATATTATGTCTTCTGGGTTTCTTGGCATTATTTTCGTCTTTCTGTGATTGTTCTTCCAGTGTGATTCTTCTGGGAAGGTTTGTGTTTTTATTCTAGTGGTAACATTCGTAATTACAACATGATATAATAATCTTAACCTATGTCTCTAGACAAGACTTATTAACTCTACATTACAAGCAAAGATAAAGTTGGTGTATTCCCTTTCACTGTTCTTTCCACAGAAGCATAGAAAAGGCATGATTGGGGTGGAGAGAGAAAGAGACGTACATCCTGACAGCCAGTTGTGAAAGTGCACAGAGATGTTAACACAATGGCAGCTGCGTATAGAGAAGAAGGAAACACACACACACACACACATTACATAGCCCCTAGGCACAATTTACTCTGGCAATGCTACTGTCTCACTTCCACCAACTGATTTTAGTCAATAACATCCTCTTTCTAAGTGTCTACCATTTATTAAGTATAATTATGCTTATATTACTTCATTTGTCAGCTCTCAATTATACCTTTTTACTCCCTGCTATTATAGAATGAGGCATTCAGAGAACTTCCTTTTTCCCCCTTTGCCTTTCAATATTTGTTGGCTGTGTCATTTCTACATCACCAGGGCACAGAACACTTACATTCTCCTCTGTTCTTCTAATCCTCATACTTGTCTTACTTTTAGTTTTAGTTTAGTTTTACAGTTAAAAATATTCAATGCTCACCCTCCATCTTCACTTTGTTGACTGAAGTTCACCCTCTACTAATTTGTTCAGGAAGGGCTCATGGGAACAATATTCCCTGAGTTATTGCATGTCCAAAAATTGTCTTACAATTGTCTTTGTACTTAAAAGATGGCTAGAATGGATATAAATCGTTGGCTCACACTTTCTTTCTTTGCTTATCTTGTAGATGTTGTTTCGCTGTCTTCTGGGTATTTGGAAGTTGCTGCAGAAAAAACTGTGGCCAACCTGGTATTTTTCTCCTCATAAGTGACTTGATCTCTTTGCCTGGATTCCCAATGGAGTCTTTCTTTCTGTCTCTCTTTTTATTTATTGTTTACTTCACCATTCTTTATTAATTTTGAAGTCATTTCAAACCTAAAGAAAAGTTGTAAGAACAGTACAAATTCTTACACCTCCTCCACACAAATCCTCTAGATGGTGACATTTTATATTTTGCTATATTTTCCCCATTTTTGTAGAGACAGAAGATAGAAACAGATATACATTTTTGTTCACATGTTCCCATCATCTCTAAATACTCCAGTGCATGCCTCCCAAAGACAAGGACCCTTCTCCTATATAGTCACCATACAGCACTCCTTGTCAAAAAATCAACAATGATACAGCACAGACCCAGTCCACAGATCCTATGCGAATTTCTGAAATATCCCAACAATGTCTCTTTTTCACTTCCAGGTCCAGGATCCTATCTACCAACACATGTTGCATTTAGTTGTCATCTCTCATCAGTCTCATCCAGTCTGGAGGAATTCCTCAGTCTTTCTCTGTTTCTCAAATCTTTGAAAGTCTGAAACAGTACAGACCTTTCCTTCTGTAGAGCCTGTGTCCATCTGATGTTTCCTCACAACCAGATACAAGCCATGCATTCTTGGCACAACAGAAATGATGCTGTGTTCTTCTCAGCCCATCACATCCAGGGGCACACTAGCTCAACCTGTCCACCACTAGTGATGTTAACCTTCATCATCTGGTCAAGTTGGTGTCTGCCAAATTTTGCCACTGAAATTTTACCATGTTTCCATGTTATTTGGTTACACTTTTGTGGGAAGCTTTACTAATATTGTGCCAATATGCTATTTCTTATGAAACCTCCACCCACAGGACAGCACCCATCAGCAACTACCAATCTCTACCAATTACCACAGTTACGGTGACCAAGTGGTGAATATGTATCTCCATCATTCTCTCTACATTTATCAGTTGTCATTTTTCGGTAAGGAAGAGTCTCTTCTCTTGCACTTACTTATTTACTTGTCTATGTATCTATTCATTCACTTATTTATAACAGTATGGATTTACAGATTCCTATTTTATTCAATAGGTTGTAATCTAATACTCTGATTATTTGATATTTACTTTGATGCTCATATTGTTCTCAATTGGTCAGTGGAAAGTCCTTCAAGCCAGCTCCTGTGTCCTTTTGACACATCCCCATCTTTTCTTGAGCATTTCCTGACTTTCTGGCAAGACAAGGTCTTTCAGGTTCATTTTATACTTTTTCTGCCCTATCCCTTAAGTTAGCCACTTCTCTGAGGCCCCCTGGTAACTTGCAGTGTAGGGCACTATTTAGAAACCAAGATCTCTGTAATCCCAGCACTTTGGGAGGCCAAGGCAGCCAGACCACTTGAGGTCAGGAGTTCGAGACCAGCCTGGCCAACATGGTAAAACCCCATCTCTACTAAAAATACAAAAATTAGCCAGGTGTGGTGGCCCATGCCTGTAATCCCACCTATTTGGGAGGCTGAGGCAAAAGAATCGCTTGAACCTGGAGGCAGAGGTTACAGTGAGCCAAGATCATACCACTGTACTCCAGTCTGAGTGACAGAACAAGACCCTGTCTCAAAAAAAAAAGAAAAAGAAAAAAAGAAACCAAGGTCTGAGTACTCACCATGCACTCATTGCTACTGGAGTTCCACTGCTTTCGGACGAAGGAGTTAAGAAAAAAATGTATGTATATATGTACATACTGACACTTCTAATTCCAATCCAGCATGCTAGGACTTTTCTAGCCTTCCTTCTTTCCATGTTTAGAAATCCCCTTTCAAACAGTAAAAAACACGGTTCCTATTATCCTCTTTATATTTATTTACTTGCTCAATAAATTATCCTTTCTCTTAACCAATCTTCCAACCATTCTAGCCATGTCCCCTGCCCACCACCTCCACACCCACTTTTCTACCCTGCTTTCATAGAAGGAAAAGGAGGCAAGGGGAGGGGAGGGGTTATTCCCTATCTTTCGTGTCTAAAACTTCCCAAGGCTATAATCTTGGTATGAGCTGTTCTGGATAATTTTGCCCAACACCCAAATTCGTGCTCTTTCAACATTTAGATTTAAGTCTTCTTTTAGATCATGAAAGCCTTCCTAATATTTTAAATATGTTCCATTGTGTGTGTTTTCTGTGTGTCTATTTTTTATGTCTGTTATTTTTTGTTTTCTTTCAAGAACTAAAATTATGCTTCTGCTGGCTCTCCACTGCCTGTCTTCTATGTCAATCATTTTCTCTCTAATCTTTATTAATGCTTCCCTTATTTATGTTTCATTTATTCACCTTTCATCTATGTTCCACACTGCATTTTCCACAGTGTCTATTTTCCCTTGAGATTCTTCCAACTTCATCTTCATTTCTGAGACCAATTTGCCTTTTTTTCTTTTATTTCCTCCTTGAGTTCTGCCAGCTCACATTTCACCACCTCTTGCCATTTTGTCATCCTTTCCCAAGCATTTACCTCTGCAAGTTGGGTCTTTCTTCACAGAAATGATTGCTTTGTTGAGTTCTTTAAATTCACTGTGAAATACTTGATTAGACTTTTCATCTGCTCCCTGAAATTATTTTCCTGGGAATGTTCCTTATTTGGGGGTAATTTTCGTGGCTCTTGCTGACATTCTTCCCCCTAATATCATTGCTTCTAATCTACCAATGATCCTACTTTCTTTTTTATTACTTATTGTTGTATGAGATGGGCTTTCTTGGATCATTTCTTTGCAGGAAGTTCTGAGGATGGAAGGAGGGCCCAGGGTAGACTTTCATTACTGAAGTAAGCTTTCTTTGTGGAGGAGAGCTAATGACTAGAAAGAGGCACATGGAGATTTCTGGGCTGCTGAAAAGATTCTGTACCTTGATCTGAATAGTGGTTACACAAAAGTTTATCAAACTGAAAAATATTTGTGTGCTTTCCTGTATGTTATATCTCAACAAACATGTTAAGGAAGGAAAGAAGGAAGCCTCTTTTATTTGCTGCCAAAAACATTGTTTCTTGCAGTTAGGTGTCTTCTGGATGATCCTTTGTATAAATGCACCTCCTCTGCTTCTCTGAATCAAAGCAGGCCCAGGAGGTACGTTTCTTCAGTTTTGCTCACCCTAGTCCTTATTTGCGTTGATTACAAATAAGAGATGTTGCTTTGCCTCTTCAGGATGCCCCTTATATCCAGGATGTGTATTTTTTCTGGCACTCTTTGCCACCTGCTATTCCTGAGCCCACCAGGTACTCTCCTAAACCTCTACTTCCCCCTCATGGCCTCTCCCAAACCCTCCTGCTCAGGACAGCCCTTGCACACATTACACATTCCACAGATTGTATCTATCCTCTAATTCCACTGAAAATGGCATTTCGGAGTTTTCTATTGTTCTCTTTGCTGTTGTGTCCAGCAACAAGGAGACTGTAATGGTATCCAGGAGGAAGAGCAGAAGAGGTTGTCTTGTACAGCAGCCACATTATACAGGAAGTCCTATTTGCCTATTCCACTGATTCACCACTACATCTCAAACGAGTCACCTCTTGAGACTCAGTCTCTCTATTAGCAGAATGGGAAGGAAAAAAATGCTGTCCTTCTCATTAGCTTCTTCTTATCAAAGAACAGTAGGGAAGGCACAGACATGAGGCCAAGTCTGTTTGCCATTATGAAGGGTTTCCTAAACGTCAAGCAACATGGTGCTTTCCATGGTGCTGATGATTTCACCTCGGTCCTGTTTCTCCTTTAACTTTCCCCTAAAGCTTGAGGGCTGCTCTCCCATAGACCATCAGCCAAAAAAACAGCTGATTCTTTAGGACTAGGATCTTACCCCACACCTCAGACTCTCACCACCTCCCCAGCAACCCACACACTCACGCTGAAACACACAGCAGATTCTTCAAAATACCAATTAGCTAGCTGTCCTGTCTCATATCTCTGGCTGGCTGCAAAAGTAGCAGTAAGAACACGCCACTACTTGGCACCATCTGCCTGGCTGTGAGCAAACATAGGCTCCCCAGCCAGGCAGTGTAATTCAGGAAATACCAAGGCCAGACTCCTGCCTCTGACCCCACATGAACCCTGAAGTTTCAGGCTACAGATGGACAACATCAAATCACCAGGGCCCCAGGACTCCACCATCACTACATCAGTCACAAATATTGCCCTTACTAATAGAAGTGGCAGATGGAAACATAAATTCTTCAAAAGCAATTTGCTTGCCAAGGACTAAGGAACGTATGAATGAAGTGTGAACAGTAAGTTTTTTCCGAGTTAGGGAGGCTGGACACGTCACCCGCTCAATTACACAGGCGGGCTCTAGAAGACCTAACCCAGTTTAATTTTCCATCAGGCTGAAAACATCTCTAGCTGACTTAAAGGCAAACACAAGGGTTTGTTCTCTCTTCCCTATGCTACTCCTTCAAGGA
Organism: Homo sapiens; assembly: GCF_000001405.40. Classification (NCBI taxonomy): domain Eukaryota; kingdom Metazoa; phylum Chordata; class Mammalia; order Primates; family Hominidae; genus Homo; species Homo sapiens. The sequence goes on from NC_000002.12 coordinate 31,108,543, forward strand.
AGGCCCAGATCTTCAAGAGCAAAATGCAAGAAAGGTAACACTGGTTGGAGCATTGGGCATTCGGTTTTTCCAAAAGAATGAGGATAAAAACAATCCTTTGATAAAATAATCCTTTGAAATCATATGCCCTTTTTCAGAAGACTCTGTAGCACACAAACAGTGTCCTTGGGGAATGAGGACTATATAAGCATTAATCATATGCATGCTCTGTGATGGCTGTCATGGCTGGAGGGTCTAGCAGGCACCCAGCATTCCTGTCGGCAGCTCCCTGCTCCCTACTGAGCTTTGGATTTTACAAAGGCAAGCACAGCACAGGTTGGAACAGGCAGACTGAAAAGAGCTTGGACTATGGGCATAGAAGTCAGGTTCTAAGTAAGTTCTGCCATTAACCAGCTGATACTCTTGAGAAAGTAACTTCCTCTCCCTAGTCTCAACATCAACCACGGAGAGGGCAAGTAGACCTGATCAACTCAAAGGCTTCTAACCTCAACAAGTGAGGATTCTGGTTAACCTCTTGCTCAGCACAGCTGTTATCTCATTCCCAGATTCCAACCCCTAACACCATAAAGGGAGGCCTTGTGCTTGGTGAATCAGCTGCCACTTCACCCAGGCCTGGAATGCAGCTGTTAGTTACTGTGGCCAAATGCAGCCATTACTTCAAAACCAACAGCAGTGGCAAATGGCAGAGAAAATAAAATTCAGCAAACTCTCACTGCAAAACCAAGACAGCAGATGAAAGAGTGGAGGAAGTGACTGCCTATGTAACATTTCTCTGAATTGCCCACCTTTTACTTCTCCACGAGAAACAGATAACAGAAGGAAGCCACCCATTGAGTTGGAAAATGCCTCATCCCTTGTTCTCAGATGAATTCAGGCTGCTAATAGCACTGATACTTTTAGAAAACTAAAGACAAGGAATGTCTGGCTTAAAAGGAGTCTGTCAGAATGTGAAATGATGCTCCCTTTCCTTCCTTGAGAGTATAAACTGGCTTGGCTCGAATTATGTCTAATTAGGATGCAGTGAAAATGAAATACACATAAACACACAGACATAGAGACACTCACACAGGAACTGGCCCCACCGTCCTGCGGCAGTGCGGACAGATTGTAATGGACGCGATGTGGTACAATCATTAAACATCTCTCTAGCTTATTTGCGTGCAGTGTGTCTCAATAATGTGTTATGAGGTGTGTTTGTAATTGGCTACTGCTGATAGTGGTCCTTGAAAGGGAAATGGAGTGTGTCTAAATGCAGACAAAGCTACTTAGCGCGCCAGGACAAGATGAGATGCTCCTCACAAGGTCCAAATGGGATACTCAGGGCTTCTTCCACCCATAGCTTGGGAGAGAGAAAAAGGAATAATCTGTCTCAATTTTCTCAGCTCCAGAAACAATATTTATAAAATAGAAGGTGATTTCAGAGCTCATTTATTTTCCTGGTTCACAGTCCCCACTCTCTGCTGACATCATTTTCTAACCAATTTTATTTCCAACAATCACAGGAACAGCCTCAATTCTACTTGAAATCGTTAAAAACAAATCCATTCTTTCCTTGTCTTTGAGCCTCATCTTTCAAAAACTGGTTTAATTTCTATACTGCCTTTCTTTGAAAAAATATTCCAGGCCTCCGAATAGCCACACCAGATCCTTCCTTCTCCCTTTCTTACCTCCTAAATCCGTGTATTATAAATGCAGAGAGCACACAGCTTCCTCCGGACCCTTGTTTCTACGCACTCTATTCACTATTCTCTGGCTAAGCACATCAATGGTTGTCCCACCTGTAGACAATGAGTGATTCCAAAGGCTATGACTTCCAAACACTAGGCACCTTAGAAACTGAATAAGCCGAAGATTTAAAAAGTCACAGAAAGAAAGAATCACCTTTCTTACCCAGAAGGCAACCTCCAATGAGCAAAATCAGAGCCTACCAAGAAATACCAAGCATGGTGCTGGCTTGCATGAAGACTGTGGCCATATCCTGGCACAGCAGCCACTTAGAGCACTAGGGAAGAGAATGGCAGCAAATGGGCGAGATGTCAGCCTTCCTATGTCCTTCCCTGACCTCCCAGGGAAACAACCACAGGAAAGAAGAACCAAGGTTCACACGGCATGCTTGGTTCTTGGGCAAGCCATGCCTGCCCTGTAGCAATCACCACAATTTTTTTTTCTAAGTGCTCAGAAAACCATCTGTTCTAAAACTGGGGGGAATTAATGTAAAGCTGATTGGTCTTTTTCTCTGAGTGGGAGAAACTGACTCTGTGACACGTATTATCAACTCTCACACAGGCACTAGATTCACGTGAAACCATTCTTAAAAGTCAGATTTTTTAAAGCTATAACTCATCCTGACTCAGATGGGTTGAGAAAAATGGTGGGAACTTGAACTCTAACTCCAAATCTCTGAATGATTTGGGAGTCAAGTATTCTGGTCTTCCCTCAATCAGGTACCCCACTTGTAAGACAGAGTTAGACACACTGTCTCCTACCCCTATGGTTGTTCAGCAGAGCTAGAGGATTTAAAACAACAGGCACTCTGGCCTCTCAAAGACAGCAGCTGGAATGAGGCAGAGAACACAATCCTCCCTGCTGCAGCTGTGAAGCCCCAGCAGACTACCCAGGATGCAGATGGGGGCTGCTACCTGTTGAGCTACCCAGCCTGCAGGGCACAAGCCTGCAGGGATCAAGGACAAAGACCCAGGGATTCTTCATCAGCAAGCTTCAATGACACCAGGACAGGGACCTTCCGGGGTGGCTAGCCTGCAGGACTTCGCAAGTCTCCAGGCAAAAGGGCCAGGGCTTAGGCTTCGTTGCCATAATGCTGAGCACAGCACTGGACACACAGCAGATGTTTGCTAAACATTTGTGAAATCTAATTTGTTCACTGAATCAACAACAGGAAAGCCAAAAGGCAGAGGCAGGGAGGACTAACTGCTTATTTACCAGGCTGGTTTAACTAGGGATACTTTCCTATAAGCCCCCTGTGTGGCTTTTACCCATGGCTTTAAACTACAACCCATTAAGCAGAAAATAAACTATAACAAACCACCACAAATTGCAAAAAAAGCTCAGCCCTGAACCCACCCTTATAGGGAGTCCTGGCGTCATCGCTATGACAGTCTGACATGCATCATCCCTTTTCAGCCTTTTAAAGCTTTTTACCTTTTAAAATAAAGTGAGATGCTGCAGGTAAACAGACATTTGCTTAAAACATTTTTTTTTTCACACAAAGGTCCTTATCCGATGTTAGTCATATTTTTCTATGCAAGATGAATTTCAATTTGATCCTTTCCTCCTTTTACTACATCTTGTTTGCTTCTTTTTCATATTTTATTTATTTTTTGATGTTTTAAATAGGCCATCAGAAGTACGGTCACCAACAGGACAGTCCTACAGACAGCTGTTGCCTCTAGTGATGGGGCTGGATGCCTTCTCCCACTAAAACTGTGTACTTGCTTTTTTTTTTTTTTTTCTTTGTATCCCTCCTTGTTCCATTGAGGACCCTCCAAAGTCTGGGAACTGAGCTCCCATTTCAATTGCCAATGCCATAAAAAACTGTCCCCTGGGAAAGGCTGGTGGTCACAGCTGTCTTTCTGCTCCTGCCCATGCAGCAGAAGTGTCTTCCAAAATGCCCCTCCCAGAGAGCAATGAGCCCAGCTCCAGGCACAGGAGAGCAAACAGCCAGTGGCTGCTTTCTTAGCCTAAGCACCGTGTGAACCAGTCCTGGACAAAAACCTGTGCTTGCCAACAACACTGGTACATCGGAGCCAACCTCCTGATCAGCTTGTGAGACGTCCCATAGCATTTACTGACCTCGTATTCATAGACCCTTAGCTTCTCAGAATCTCATTCCTCATGGTAAACTGTGAAAATGCTGCCTAACAAAAAGTCTTGGCTAAGATTACAGGAGATGTATGGGACAGCACCAGGCACACTGTTTGGTATGAAACACATGCTAAAAAATGAGGATCTCTCAAATCCCTCCTCATGACCCAATTATTGTTAGATGTCACGATCGTCAAAGAAAAAGGCCAACATCCATGACCTAGGTCATATTCCAGTCCTTCTCATTGGAAAGGATATTTGATGATAACATCTTGGCCAACTGATTTCCCAGTGAATCAGGATCCACTTTGTCCCCCATCCCCTGTATGACAAAGATCCACTATCATTGTCATGGGCCCACAGTCCCCTGCAGCCTGCCCTGACGTCACTTCAAACCTTCTCCTTGCTATCTCCAGATTCTCACTTTGATCCTCATGCTTCACCAAGTCCTCCTTTCTCATGTTATGGAATCTTATCCCCATGTGCTTCTGGAACTCTTACTTTGTGATGGATTAAACCTAGAAGTCCCCAAGTGATCCCAGTAAGGAAGTAATTCCAGTCTAGATGAATTAGGCCTCTGCAGCAGTGGTGTTATATGCAGCTACTAATAAAATTCTAGAAACACTTCCCAATGAATAAAATCCTTTCAAACTAACACTGAAACCCCTCTCTTAGACTGTGGCAGGATAGAGAAGTAAATGCAAGATAGAAACCTTCTCATTTTCCTTAGATTTCAAAGAAATCTAAATTTTAAAAGAATATTTGCTTGGAAGTTTCTATCATTCACTGTTGAAATTTCAGAAATTGATGAAGCAATTCTGGATAATGGTGGTTTGAATGTGCCCCTGCTGATAGCTAGTGGTGTCTCTCTCAGCACCAATTCAACTGCAGGGAGCCACTGAGAGCAGCACACAGGTGTGGAGTCTAAGCGAGACCTCAGGATCTGCCGGGCTGGGTGGAGAAGGTCATTGCAGGGTTGAGAGAGAGCCTGGAGAATGGCATCTAAGAACAGACACAGGAGCAAGATCAGTTGTCCCTGAATCCTGGGGAAAGCTTGGCCCAGAGTAGGAGAGGCCCCTGGGAGGAAGGCAACTCCAGTCGTCAAGAATGTTCTGAGGGGATCTCCTGTCTCTGTGGCCCAGAGGAAGGGATGGGAAGCTGAACAGGCCTACTGAGTCCTCTGTAGCCTGGAGCTAGGGTAGCTCAGGGTATTCCTTCTGGTGCTGCAAGGAACCAACAGCCTGGCTGGTGGTACTGCTCCTACAAGGTATAGGAGCTGAGACTGCAACACACTGACAGAGCAGGAGAATCATCATCTTGGACAAACACCACCACTTTAAGTTCAGTTCCCTTTCTAGCCTCATGCATTTTCAAGGAAATCACTTCTAACTACAAGCAGCCAAAAAGAGCAGACAGTAAAACACAAGTAAGACAACTCAGGCACAGAGGGAGGTGGGGGGAAAGTCTCTTGGGTAACTGCCAAATTTCACCCTCATACAATGGGCCCCAGTACAACAGTGGGCCTTAATAAGCACATTCCTTTCCCTTCAGGTGCACTAAGATAGGGAAGCTAAAAGCAGTGGGGATATGCCTGCAGCTGCAGAACAATGTATGGGAACAGACACACAACTCTCCCTCCCAGATAAGCACAACAAAGAGACACAAAAGCAGCCTAAGCCTCTAATAAACTCCCCCACCCTGAATCCTTAAAAACTCTTAGTCTGTAAAAGAATGTGCCTCTGACCTAACTGCACCAGAAGCTCTTCTCAGGTTTGTTTTCTCTAAAATAAACCTGTCTTAACTGACGAGCCACCTTTCGTGTTTCTTTCCTCTTTCTTTACTTCTTACACACATCACCATTCTCTGCTGACTTTGCCTGAAGGCAGCTGGTCCTAAGCTGCAACAAGTGGGAAAAAAAAAAAAAGCCACCCACAAAGAGGACCAGAAGCTGGAGACATGAGCAAACAAAACACTTAGAAGGAGAAGCTGTTGATGAAACAGAGCTGCTAAAGGAGACAAAGGGCAACTCAAACAAAAAATAATAATAGCACTTAACGGTATTCAATTACAGCACATGAACAAGAAAGACTTTCTGGGAATAAAAATCATGATTTTTCAAACTAAAAAGCTCAGCAGAGTAGTTGATGAAAAGGATGGTTGCTGTAGAGACCTAAATTAGCGGCTTAGAAGATCAAGTAGAAAAATACACACACGCACACACAAGAGCAAAAATACAAAGAAATAAAAATCAGGGGCAAAAAGAAATTTCGAGAACAGACTCTAAAAACCCAGCTTGTGAATAACAATAATCCCAGAAGGGGAAAAAGGAACAAATACAAAAGAGACAAGAATTTAACAAATGGAAGTAAAGAATTTACCTGACTTGAAGAAAGACCTGAGTCTGCAAATGGAACTGAGCTTCTTGCAAGAGACATGGGAAATGACATACAGCAAGGTGTCCTCCTAAGTCCCAAAGATAAGGAGAAAATGTCATGAGCTCCAAACAGAGAGAACAGGTAACTAACAAAGAAAAAGTATTATGACTTCAGTCATACACCATCTGCAAAACTGGAATCCAGAAGACAATGGAAAACCATCCAGGCCAGGCACAGTGGCTCATGCCTGTAATCCCAACACTTTAGGAGGCCGAGGCAGGAGGACCACTTGAGCCCAGGAGTTCAAGACCAGCCTGGGCAACCTAGCAAGACCCCATCTCTACTAAATAAATAAATAAAATTAGCCAGGCAGAGTGCCACATGTCTGTAGTCCTAACTACTTGGGAGGTTGAGGCAGGAAAGATCACTTGAGCCCAGGAGGTTGAGGTTGCAACGAGCTATCACCATGCCATTATACTCCAGACTGGGTGACAGAGCAAGACCCTGTTTCAAAAAAATTACAAAAAAAAAAATAATCCCAAACGAACCACAAAACCATCCATACATTGCCAAGTGTCCGAGGCAGATGTTATCCACCTGTCTAATTTGTAGAATATTTGCGGATACAAGAGTTCATAGAAAACATAACCCACATACCCTGTCTCAAGAAGATATTCTGATCAAAAAATAAATGAACTCAAACAAAAATCTCAAGATGGGTGAGATGAAAAGAAGAGAAAACAGAGGTGTGATGAACCTTGCAATCTGCACAGTTAAATCTAATTAGGTAATATTAAAGTGACTGGAAACAGGTAATGGAAGTGACAAATAAGAATACCTGAAAAAGAGGAGGGATTCTGCAAAGAAAATCTGAACATTTAGTTCTAGAAGTGTTAAATTATCTCAGCAAAGCCCAGTAATTAGGGGTAGTGGAAGGTAGGGTGAATAAAAGTCTTCTAAAGGCCCATCTGCCCACAGGGTATGCAAGTGTAAGGAAGAAAAAGTACTCATAAAAGGCTCAATTTACTAGGCTGCTGCCAGGCACAGTGGCTCACGCCTGTGAGGCAGGAGGATCACTCTAGGTGAGCCTGGGCAACATAGCAAGACCCTATTTTTAAAATAAAAAAAATTAATTAGCTGAGCATGGTGGTGCACAACTTAGTCCTAGCTACTTGAGAAACTGAAGCAGGAGGATCTTTTGGGCCCAGGAGTTTGAAGCTACAGTGAGCTATGACTGCACCACTGCACTCTACCCTGGGTGACAGAGAGACAGATCCTGTCTCCAAAATATATTTATTAGGATGATAATGAATGGGTGAGTAAAACATCCTGGCAGAAGGAGGGGCATGTAAAATCATCATTGATATCTTGATTGCATAGAAATATGCCTTCGAATGTCCTGGAAAGAAAGATAACAGTCAGCATAGATGGTATAGTAAGATGTCCAAATTAAAAAGGGAAAGAGAAATTGAAGTAGTAATTGGCCAAACCAGCAAAAGTAATAAAATGGAGAAAGATAAAAATAAAATAAATAGTATATATTCAATTATATCTACTATTTCACTAATTTTTATAAGCTGAACATTCTTATTAAAATACAAACATTATCAGATTGTATTGAAAAATAAAAATATGTATTCAGGTCAACAGAGAGTTATACGTAATTTATAAGAAACATTTTATGCCATAAAGAAAAATTAAAAATAGATGGTCAAATGCAAATGAAAACAAAGCAGGACAGACGATATTAACACCAGATAAGGTGAATGTTAAGGCACAATTTATTAAAATATAAATCACTAAGAACAAAACAAAATAGCACTAAAATATTATAAAGCCAAAACTCTTGATAGTAGGAGATTTTGATTAAAATAAAATTATAGTGTATGATTTCAGGATTGAACAGATCCAGTAGCTCAAAAAATGACATAAACCAAGAAAGACAAGGATAAGTTGAATCAAGAATATTTATCTAATACATATATATAGAGAGAACTATATAACCATCAAATAAAGAATATTTGGCCAGGCGTGGTAGCTCACACCTATAATTCCAGCACTTTGGGAGGCCGAGGCAGGCAGATCACCTGAGGTCAGGTGACCAGCCTCACCAACATGGAGAAACCTCATCTCTACTAAAAATACAAAATTAGCCAGGTGTGGGGCGCATGCCTGTAATCCCAGCTACCTGGGAGGCTGAGGCAGAAGAATCACTTGAACCCAAGAGGCAGAGGTTACAGAGAGCTGAGATCACGCCATTGCACTCCAGCCTGGGCAACAAGAGCGAAACTCTATCTCAGAAAAAAAAAATTAAAAAAAAGAATATTCAGGGGCTTTCTTTCATATGTCCAAAAGACACTTTAAATATTGATTATGTAATTGGCCATTAATAAAAACTTAAAAATTTTGAAAAGTAGAGATTTGATAGGCCACATTCTCATCTCATAATTCAATACAATCCAAAATTAAAAGTATCAAAAATCCTAAGGATTTTGAAATTGAGAAACATGCTCCTACCTGAGTAGCTCTTCAGACAAATAGAAAATCAAAATTAAAAATATAAATAGTCTAGTAAGAACTGAAGAGGAAGCCAGTCAAAATGTATGGGACACAGCAAAGGCTGGCTGCATGCAAAAGAAATGTACAACCCTATATGCCCTAATTATTTCTAAAACAGGAATATTCAAAAATAGAGAGCATTACTAGCAAGAAAAGTTAAAATTAATGACTACAAATGAAATGTAATAGGAAGGTACATAAATGCAAAAACTGGCTCTTTGAAAACATCTATAAGATGGAGTAGGTTTAAGAAAGGATAAAATATGTATGATTGGAAACGTGAATGGAGATATGACCATAGGTGTAGAACACAGAATTAGAAGACACTACTATGTGCAACTTTGGTAAAATTTTAAAACCTAAAAGACATGGGTTAATTTACTAACAAAATGGATACTACCCAAACTGACCAAAGAAGTAGTAGAAAACGTGAAAAGACCTGTTACCATATGCAATAGTGGAAGATAGGCTATGCTAACAAGCAGAAGTTCCTGCTTACACAGTAGTCTTGGGTAGGTGTTCTGGACAATAGGGAAGCTTTCTTCCATTCAGTTATTTAGAGACCAAAACATCTTACATCATGTGGCCCTGCCATCCCTAGAGTCTTGTCACCCACATTATCTGGCAGAAGGAGAAGAATATGGCAGATCGTGCATGGGAGGTTTTATAGTGTGGCCTATAAATAGAACCCATCATTTCTACTCCATTTTATTGGACCCAAGTTAGTTACATGCTACTTAAAGCAAGGGAGAATGTGAAATGCAATCTTGCTGTGTGCCCAAACAACGAGACATCAGAATTTGGTGAGTAATTAGACGTATCATGGCAGAGATAGAGAAGGTGACTAAAGGGCTACCATTGAAGAAGTCAATAGAACTAGATAATTTCACAGCTGAGTTTTATATGATCATTAAAGAATAAATCGGCGAAAGTTATTTAAACTATTCTCATCTGCTAAAAAACTTCCCTAATTCATTTTATCAAAGCAATACACACCTAAATCTAAAACCAAAGTACCAAAAAAAACTATAAACAAATCCAACTTATGAAAATAGATGTTAAAATTCCAAATAAATGTCAACAAATACAAGCCAGTAGCATAAATAAAAATAAACTGTAACTAAATAGAGTTCATTCCAGGAATGCAAGGATGATTCAAAACAAGAAAATCAAAATAAATCACTGCATCAATAAAAGAGAAATATGATTCAATCAAAAGATAAAAATCCAAAAAAACTAATAAAAACTCAAAGTAAATCAAGAATAAAACAAAAGTTAAAATGTGATATAGAATATCTAATAAAGGTGAGCAGTAAATAATGAACACTAAAGCCATTTGCATCAAAATCAAGAGAGTCCTTATACTGCCACGGCATTTAATTTTGAAAGTTCTCATGAATGCAACAAAATAAGACAATAAAATAGTCAAGATAAATCTCAAAAAGGAGAGACAAATTTTACTTATTTTGATAATGATGTGATTTTTATACTTAGGAAATTCAATAGACTAATTGAGAAGTAGCTACTGGATTTAATAAGAAAATTCTGGTAAAAAGTATGACATTGCCATAGTAAAAGACAAAGAGGTCCATGGAAAATGGAGTTCCCAGAACTAGAACCCAATATTTATGGGAAATTATATGACAAAGTGGTCTTTTAATTAGTGGGGGAAGTGATGGCTTATTTAATTAATGATGTTGACACAAATGACTATTCATTTTGGAAGAAAATACAGTTGAATCCCTACCTCAAACCTGACATAAAAATAAATCCCAGATGGACCTAAGATTTAAAAGTTTAAGAAAAAAAAATCATATAAAAGTGGAAATTTGGGATATTCTATGTACAATCTAGGACTTACGATGATCTTTTTAATCAAGACAGGGCATTCATGAGCTATTTTTTGAAAAGACATATTCGACTGTATTTTTCAAAGCCAAAAAGTTATATGGCAATATATACCATAAAGTCAACAGTATTAACAAATTAATCAGAAAAAAATCTGCAACATATATGACTAATAAAGAACTATCAATAACATGCAAAGAGCTCTTTTACTTGGCAACAAAAAGATAAACCGTACAGTAGAAAAATAGGGAGAGGATATGAATAGACCCCTCATAGAAGGGCAAGATCCTTACATGCAATAAACATATGAGAACATACTCAACCTCTCTGGTAATCAGAGGAATATAAAATTACAATTGGATCCCGTTTCATACTCTTTAGGTTGGCAAAACGAAAATGACGACATTTATACCAAAGAGGATGCTGGGGAAAGAGTACTCTCGTACTTTGCTAACGAAAATGTAGATTGTTTTACAAAGCAATCTTAAAATATACATAATATAAAAATTACAGACTCCTTTTGACTCAGAATTCCCACTCCTCAAAAGTTATACTTCAGAAGCAAAAGCTCTAACATGTAAGAATATGTGTACATAGATTATTTCAGCTCTGTCTGTAGCAACAAGAGATGAGAGATAAAGTGTATACCCATCAAATGGAAATAGCTGAATAAAATAAGTTACATCCACACTGCAGAATATTATGCAGTCATTAAAAATAATGAGCTAGGCCGGGCGCGGTGGCTCACGCCTGTAATCCCAGCACTTTGGGAGGCCGAGGCGGGCGGATCACGAGGTCAGGAGATCGAGACCATCCTGGCTAACAAGGTGAAACCCCGTCTCTACTAAAAATACAAAAAATTAGCCGGGCGTGGTAGCGGGCGCCTGTAGTCCCAGCTACTCGGGAGGCTGAGGCAGGAGAATGGCGTGAACCCGGGAGGCGGAGCTTGCAGTGAGCCGAGATCGCGCCACTGCACTCCAGCCTGGGCGACAGAGCGAGACTCCGTCTCAAAAAAAAAAAAAAAAAAAAAAAATAATGAGCTAGCTGACCAGTAGGATTTCTAGAATATATACTTAAGTAAAGAGAAGATGCAAAGTATATATAATGTGATCAATCTCTCACTCTCCTTTTTAATAACAACCAAAACAGATCTGTAAATGTTTATACATGTTTACAAACTGGTTACACAATGCAGAGAGAAAGCTATTGAAGTTCACATATCCAGATTCTTATGTTGCTTATCTCAAAGGGGGTGAAGCAGAGGGTGGTGAGTGAAAAGATAGATAAATAAGTTGCAGTGAGAAATATCACACAGACAATAGCCCATTTACGTAAATCATCCATTTTGATTTTCTCTCTACAACTTTTTTCAACGTATATATCTTGTTTTAAACAAATTAGTATCCTACCATGAACACATTTTTTTTTTAGACAGAGTCTCACTCTGTCGCCCAGGCTGGAGTGCAGTGCCACGATCTTGGCTCACTGCAACCTCTGCCTCCTGGGCTCAAGTGATTCTCCTGCCTCAGCCTCCTGAGTAGCTAGGACTACAGATGTGTGTGACCACGCCCAGCTAATTTTCGTATTTTTAGTAGAGACAGGGTTTCACTATGTTGGCCAGGCTGGTCTCAAACTCCTGACCTCTGGTGACCCACTGGCCTCGGCCCCCAAAGTGCTGGGATTACAGGCGTGAGCCACCACGCCCAGCCATGGACACAATTTTGAATCCTCTTTGTTTTAAACTTGGTGCATAATGAGTATATTTCCATGTCCACTGTGTTAGGACCATTCCTGGTTTAGTTTCCTAAGACAGCAATTTGGAAAGAGGTGCAGTGGATCAGCACACATCTCAAATAACATCTGCAAATCTGCCAGCCTCTGTGCTTGGTGTACACAAGAAAGAATTCTTCCAGGCCCTGGTCACATCAGCAGGGATGTCTTCACAGTTCACTTTCTCCAACCAATGTGCATGGACTCAGACCTTCTGAACTCGGGAGCCCAGCATGCCTGTCCAAGGGCATTCTAAGTGACTTTGGCCATGGCCCTGCCAAGGCTTCATCTGTAAGGAATCTAGACAGGCAAGATGACTTCCCCACAGGTAATTTCTCTAAGAGCAGCTACACAAATTAAAATTGAAAACAGGTGGTCGAGAAAAGCCAGAATCAAGCCTGGTGAGGAATACAGAACATACACAGCAACGCTCATTTAGGCCAGAAGGGTAAGAGAAAGGGAATGCCAAGTTCAAATTTCACTGAATTGCCCCTTTAAGAGCAATGGACATACTATAGACAATAAAACCCTTAAACCCAAAACATTTACTGAACAAAGTCCCCAGTGAGTGGAGTATAATATTCCCAACTGGGGAAATCTGACACACTCTGGTTTTAGAACAAAAATAAGCAAACGGCTTTATTTTTTAACTTTTCCGCAGTCTGGCCCACTCCTGGTTTCTATTCATCTCTAGTCACTCATGCTGAGTCCTGCCACCTTAGGAAGACCTCGCTGCCCACTGCCGCCCAATAATCTCCCTTTCTCTAAGCTCCCACAGAACCTGCCTCCTGTTCTACAGGAAGATCTCCTAGATTCAGTACTGTCCTAGATGGTGTTAGTCATGTCCCCTCAACTGCATCATAACATGGCGTAGAGGTGCTAGGATAATGGGATATTTGTTTGCATTTGTTCTCACTTCCATCTACCTCCCACTCCCACCTCTGCCCTGCCCCAACCCCTGACCTCAGCAGATAACCAAGATCCAAATGCTTCCTGGCTTCCAGGAAGATGGTATTCCTAAGCCTAAAGCAGAGATACCAGGAAATAGGCCATCTTCTATCATTTACAAAAGCCAGTGTTATTTGAAGGAATAAATAGCCCAGAGGGTGAAAAAAAGGGCAATGCCTTTGAGGACTAGAGAGAGAGGGAATTCCTCCAGCTTGGAAGGAGAATGGGATACAGCCAGTCCTGAGAGTGGTGGGTGTCCCAGAAGGTAGCAGAGCCCAATTAAAATGGCTGTGTGATGCCCCTAGGAAGGCCGGCCACTGGACACAGGGGGCTCCGGGTACCACAGGGAAGCCACTAGCCCGGGATAAGCAGAACGTGAAGGGCACAGTCAATGATGAAACAGCCGTGATGGTGATACCTGGAAGACTACAAGCTCTTCCCACATTACCTGGCATGGAGGAAGCCTCCAGAATCGCTGTGAAGCCGTGAGTAGAGGAATCCCCATCCCCACATGGGGGAATGGGAGCTTGGAATCGCATTTAACTCCAAGAAAATAAAGACAAGTGGCACTGAATGTAGAGCTGGTCTTGTGGAGTATGATTCACACAGGCTTTTCGTGAGCAAGCACATCATCTAATGCAGGGCTTCTCAAACTTTGATTGCACACAGATCACCTGGGGATCTTACTAAATGCAGACTTTGAATCAGTAGGTCTGAAATGGTCTGAGATTCTGCATTTCTAATGAATTATAAGAGACACTAACCCTTCTGGCCCATGAGCCACACTGAGAAACAAAACATCAGGGGTGTTTTCTATAAATTTTTTCTATACATTTTCTATAAATGTTTCTATAAACATTTTCTATAAATTTTTGTTTTCTATAAAAATATACAAATTATTTTCTATTTTTATTGTAAAGATCTAAGTTTTGTGGGTCACACAGTCTCCATCACAACTATTCAACTTGGCCATTGTAGCCTAAAAGCAACCATAGACAATTCGTAAAGGAATTCGGCTCCAATAAAACTTTATTGGGCCGGGTGCTGTGGCTTACGCCTGTAATCCCAGCACTTTGGGAGGCCGAGGCGGGCGGATCACGAGGTCAGGAGATCAAGACCATCCTGGCTAACACAGTGAAACCCTGTCTCTACTAAAAAATACAAAAAATTAGCCGGGCGGGGTGACGGGCACCTGTAGTCCCAGCTACTCGGGAGGCTGAGGTAGGAGGACGGCATGAACTCAGGAGGCGGAGCTTGCAGTGAGCCGAGGTGGCACCACTGCACTCCAGCCTGGGCAACAGAGCGAGACTCCATCTCAAAAAAAAAAAAAAAAAAAACTTTATTGATGGACCATGGAGTCTGAATTTCATGTATTAATAATTTTCATGTGTCATGAAATATTATTTTTCCTTGGAGTTTTTCTCTGATCATTTAAAACTATAAAAACCATTCTTAGCTCACAGGCCATACAAAAACAGTGGAGAAAGTAGGGGTTGCAGTTGATCCATAGGCTACCTGGTCCATGGTGCCCAAAACGTATAGAACCCACGACAGGTGTCCTCAACTGACTAAATAAAAGTGGGTTGCTCAGCCTATTCCCTATCCTGATGCTGGCTTTCCCTTCCTGTTATGCTTCCACTAGTGTTATGCTTTGAAACAGCAGATGCTTTGGGGACAAGTGGATTGCGGCAAATGCTTCTTTCAAAAAAATCACTAAAATGACTTTAAAAGACCTCCCTAAATCCTTCTTCTTCTAATAAGCAGCCCTGTGGAATAACAGTTTCCTATTTTAGTGAAACAGCTTTAAGGATGAGATTAAACTTCAACCACAGTTTTCTGAGCTAACGGAAGAGTGACATGATCAGGACAGGAAATTCAACCATGCAGAACAACGCCTGGTAAATTTAAAAGCAATTGTCTCAAACTTGTATCCCCATGTACCCCGGCAAAGATTCTCTTCTTCCCCTTGGCCTCACATTCCACTTTGACTCAAAAGAGAAAAGACAGCTATCCATTTTGCAGTTCCTTCCACCATTAAACAGCATCCCCAGAGACACAGTTGTATCTTTCCAGTAATACAGCAATACATCTAAGAGGAACACAGTGTTCGGGAATCAGAAGTGGTGAGGGAGGGGCCAGCAGAGAGCCACTGCTACACACTCCACACTCCCTCAGAATTCACCCCCGCTTCCTACACAGGGCTTCCCACACAGCAGCACCCCATATGGGTTTGCCGGATGTTCGGACAAACTTGATCCAGTGACCTGGGGCAGGTGATTTTGCCCGCTCTGTCTCCCCATGCTTGACAGGCACTCAAAGGGGGAAACCTCCAAGGAGTTCACCCATCTTTCCTGCTTGCCAACTGCCCCAGTGGCACTCCTGCCAGGGCTCTAGCATCCTACGTCCGGTCTTAGTTCCACCAATTATTCATGGTGGGAGGAAATGCAAAATGGATAGCTGTCTTTTCTCTTTTGAGTCAAAGTGGAAAGTGAGGCTGAGGGGAAGAAGAGAATCTTTACAGGGATACATGGGGATAAACGTTTGACAATTGCATTTAAATTTACCAGGCGTTGTTCTGTAAGGTTGGATTTCCTCCCCTGATCATGTCACCCTTGTTGTGTTGGGCAAGATATTGGACCTTTAGGAACCTCAACTCCCTCACTGGTAAAAATAAAGGTAATCGATACACCCTCCAGAGATAATATTGCAAAGAGAAAATGTTAACAATTAGCATGGTTCAGGCACTGTTTTTTTGTTTTTGTTTGTTTGTTTTTGAAACAGGGTCTCCCTCTATTGCCCAGGATGGAGTGCAGTGGTGCAATCTCGGCTCACTGCAACCTCCCAGGCACTGTTTAAAGAGAAAGGCACCAACCTTAAATAACCAGTATGACTGTACTGGTAGCAGTCGCTGAATCTCAGCCTGCCCACCTTGTGGGGTGGTTGTGAGGAATGAATAACTGATACAGATAAAGCACCCAGCATTTCTCCTAAAAGGCACTCACATTCACCTCTCCCCTGGAAGCCTCTTCTTTCTACGTGGACTCCTGGCCAATAACGGAGGCCACAAACCAGGTCTTCTACTAGCACTGAATGCAGGACACTTGACAGTCACTTGCGCCACTTATTCAGAGCATGGCCAGAGCCTCCTGCTGGATGCAACTTCTCTCTCCAGACATCCTGGGGTGCGCCCAGGAGCTCTGGCAGATCATCCTACCCACAGTACCCAGGGCCTGCTTGGGCAGAAAAGCAGCTGGCACCTCACACTCCTGGGGACACACAGTCAACCTACCTGTAGGAAGATGCCCTCTTTGGTAGGGAGGAGTGGGTGATACAGGCACCTGAGGCGCCCAAGGGCTCATCCCAGCCACCTTGAAAAACAAGGACCAAACCTGAAAATGCCACAAGAAAGAAGAGCAACATGGTCATTTCTTTGGCAATTAATAGCAGCATTGATTTCACAGAGATCTTACCCCTCACAAAGACTCTGTGCCCATAGGAAAGATCTGGATCCAGCCTTGAAAGAGCCCTTATTTCTTCCCTGAGAAAACAGACTACACTTCACCAAGGACCTTACACGTGGCGCTCAATGCATATCAGCTTTCTCACCCCCCATTCTTCAGGAGAATGGAAGGAAAAAAGAACACTTTAATTGTGGCTCAATGTTTATTGACCCACAAATATGCTCAGTATGACTGGGGAAAATGGGAAGTCTTGGCACAGAAAGAAAAGAAATGCACATTATAAAAAGGACTAAGTGTAAAACGTAGAAAATATCATAAGTGCAGCTTATTTATGGTTAATAGCAGGTATTTGTTTTTGCAGCTAATAATCTAATTAGCAGTCAATCCAATACATCCTTTATTATCAGCTGATCCATAATTACTGCTCCATGCTGAGTATTTTCCTGGCACATGATAGCTTTCAACTCCTCAGCACAAACAACCAAATAATGTGGTGTTATGCTAAATACAGGACGATTCCTCTCTGAGGGGTGATGCTGCAGTTTTTAGCCATTCATGATGGCCTTTGTATTTTCAGCATCTGTTGGTTAATTCCTCAGTGTCCTCTCTTTAATCAGTCTTCAGGTATTCCTAAAGCACCTTAACACTCTCAAAAATGTGATACTTTGGAGACTTCCTTTTTTAAAGTTTAACCCTAGGACCAGACACATTCCCAGTCATCTGTGGCAGGACAGCATTCATAAGGGGATGTCAGATAGCGGTGAAAGCACAAAATATTTCTCTGAAAATATTGTAAAGTTTTCTCTTTAAACATTGTTTTAAAATGACTCATCCTGAAAGAGATAGCTTCTGATGTAAGACTATTTCATCCAACAATTTCTGATCTAAACTGTTCACTCTGGGAAGCACAGTGAACCCAGGTTCTAAAGGCAAGTTGCAAAGGGAAAAATACATTCAAGTCCTCCCTTTCACAGACTCAACGTGGCTGTGAGGGGAGGGAAGGAAGCTTGGGGTGAGCATATGGAAGTTGAAAGAGGGTGGGTGCTCTGGAGGCAGACAGACCTGGTTTGGAATCTAGATCCCTGGCTTACTTATAAACAGCATGATCTTGGATATGTCACCAAGCTTCCTTAAGCCTTGGTGTTCGTCACATGAAAAACCAACCTAAGAATGCCGGCCGTGCAGTGTTGTTAAAAAGAATAGATGACTAACTCAGAAAGCACCCAACACTTACTACAGGCTCAGATTGTTAGTTCTCTGCCTGTTCTTCTGGATGCAGAAACAAGAAGCGAGTGTTCTACAAGCCAGTAGCTCACTCACATCACATAATTCTATTCTCTGCAATCACACTTTCACCTCTTACCTATAACTCTAGGTAGACTTCATCCCAGATGTACCATGGGGCTACTATACCAGCCAAAGTCCTACTCGCAGTTCCCATTGTCCTGCATGCCCCTCCACTCTACGACCCATCATCTTCCTATGATCCAGCACATACTTTGGTTAGCTGGTGCTTGTGCCATAGCAGTTGCTAAATGTCTCTCTGTCTATAAAAGGGAGTAAGACGTGGGTAACTTTCAAACCAAGACCTTTTCCAAAGACTTATTTGGGAAACAGAAACCAGTGGCTATATAAAGAATGGAAACTGCTAGGCTCTGACCCTAAATGAGGTGCTAAAACTTGGAGTCAGGAGCCACACACTCAGTTCAGATCTTTCTTTTTCAACTTTTTATTGAAGTAGAATGCACAAAGAGAAAAGAACATGTACTCAAGGAATTTCACAAGGTGAACGCACCTGTGTAACCAGCCCCCCAATCAAGAAACTGAACAGTGCCAGTGCCCCAAAATGTCCTGTCCCCATCCAGTCAGTTACCCCAACCCAGGTAACCATGAACTGACTTACAATGCCAGAGATGAATTTCGCCTGTTCTTGTACTTTATATAAATGCAATCACACAGCCTGCGGGTCAAATCTGGCCTGCCACCTGTCCTAGTACATCCTACAAACTAAGAAAGGATTTTATATTTATAAATCTTTCAAAATAATACCAAAAGAAGAATACTTCATGCGATGTGAAAAATATATGAAATTCAAATATCTGCTTCCATAAATAAAGTTTTATTGGAACACAGTGACACTAATTCATTTACATATTGTATTTCAAACTACAACTGCAGAGTTGAATAGTCACATCAGAGACCATATAACCTAAAAACAAAACAAAACAAAAATACTTACTGGCCCTTGACAGAAAAAGTTTGCCTGCTCTAATTCAAGTGCATGACATTCCCTAAAATACATAGCATTTCTGTTGGGTTTATATGTAGGAGTTGAATTGCAGGGTCATAGATGTACACATATGTTTAGCTTTAGTAGACACTGCCAAGAAGTTTACCAAAATATACACTCAATTTTAGGAGAAAAGCTAAAATCTGGAGCAGAAATCATAATTTCAGTTTTAAGACAGGCAGGGAGAATTATAGAGAGTTGATCTGAGCAAACGATTAGAAAACCATCAGGGCTTCCAAGTGGAGAGGGAAAATATCAGGGTCATCTAGGTTTACATTTCTTTTCATTCTTATTCCACACATAGTTTTTAAAAATGCAGTGTCCTTTAACATTGCCATGCTCGGGGGAAAAGGACAAGAGTAAAAAAGTCATGTTTCTGCTTGGGATCTTAGAGCAGAGTACCAACTTTATTGTTTAGGCCATGTCACAAAAACACCACCATGGGCCCAGGAGCTTACTGGAACTGCAGACAAAATATCCAGGAAGACATCAGCAGCCTCCTGATCTTACGCTTTCCTAAGTTTAACCACATATGTGGGCAGAGCCTACATAACTCAAACCCAACCTCCAAATCCTCCACAAAGAGTCTGGTCCCTGTACTGGGTAGAACCAGCAGGCCACCAACGAGACAGAACTGAGGAGTTGTCCATCAGTTTTCAAGGCTAACCAGCAAGACATGGCAGGGTGCCCCCACATTAGAGGCATGGCCAGGACACCCCGGCATTAGAGATGCAGGCAGGGCACCCTCTACATTAAGGTGACGTTGGATATCTTCTAAAGTCACTTCCTGGAGTCATTTCCCCAGGCACTTGCTTGCATTTCAAATAGGATGTGTTAGGTTCTTTCAAATGACATTTTTCCTCTTGGAAGGAAATTGCTTCCTATAGTTTAAGGACCACATTCATCAAGAAAGGGACTCAAACAGTTTGTGTCTTAACTCCACAACCCTGCTGATTTCTAACTTGGAGCAGCCTAGGAATGAACAGCACAGCCTCCTGTCCTGCCAGCAAACCCTGCAGGCCCAGGAGGGAGGTAGTAGCAGGGCAGCGTGGGCTCCTGGCTAGGCCAGAGTCAGAACCTGATGTGGGGTACTTGTGGGGAGGGGGAAGGGCGGAGAGCCTCTCTCCACTTCTTGCACCACCGAGTCTGCCGTTACAGTCCCAGCTCTTTCCACTCCAGAAAGCAGTGGTCCCGTGGACTGGCCCTGACTGGCCCAAGCATGGGTTAAACTTGGCCTTTCCTAGAAGAAAACCCAAAGTCCTCCAGACCCTCTGGTGGCCTTCCAGAGACAAGCTCTGTATTTCCCTTAATCCCTTTTCCAGTTCCCTTCTGTAAGTTAAAAAATAAAATTGAAAAAAAAAAAAAACACACAAAGCAATGCTGGTGTTTCAGCAGAGGGAGGGCATCTTTTCTCAGCAAGTGCACTAGCTTTTTGTCCATATGAAAACAAACATATAACATACACATATATATTTCATCTTCCCTGGCAAAGGAATCTCACCTGAAGTTGAGCGTGGCTCTAACAGAAACAGCATATGCGTGACAGTCAAAAGAGCGAGTTGAAGCCCACTTGCTGATTAGGCTAGCTTGCCCAAGTCCCTACCCTGCTATCACCTCAGATTCATCACAGTTCAGAAAACGAGAATAATAATAACACTCACCTCACAAAGTCGCAGTAAGGATCAAATGAGGCAACTGTGGATATAAATGCTTTGTAAACTGTAAAACATCACACCAAGTGGTGGGGAAAAAAGCTACCTCTTATCTTCTTTTCCTGATTCACCCTTTAATTAGTAAAGTCTTTCAGCTAGCTCCTCTTCTGATAAAGACCACCTGCCCACCATAAGGACATTAGTCAATTCAGCACCCAGCTGGCAGCCATCAATTGGCCATCTATTAATAGCCAATTATCTGGGTGCCTTAATTAATCCACAGACCACGTGGCCTGATCTCCCTGAGATCCTAGGAAACAATAAGCCTGAAATACAGGCACCAGCTAATTTTTCAGTGGCCATCAAGGAATCTGGCATCTATTATGCCTGCATGTTGCAGCTGCGAGAGATGGGCACATAAATATTGATTGGACCAGTCTCTATGGCTGGGAGGTGGGGGGTGGGAGGGACATCAATGATTACTGTTCTCTGAGGAATAAGAGAAGCTACATAAATCTTCAGCCCAGACAACTAAGGAAGAAAATCCTTATTTCCAAACCATAGTGCAAACAGAGAAAAGAGACAGTTAACCTCTTTGGAGAGAGCTCGTCAAGAGAGAGTGGCCCTACTAGTTCTATAGATGTTTCAGGCTCTCTCCTTGCCTAGCATGCATGCAGATCGGGTTGCAAGAGCAGGATCATTAGGAAGAAGACAGCCGGGGTGGTTGTTCTCTTCATCTGGGCATTCAAATCCCAGGGCAGAGACATGTGAGTGTGCCCTGCTCTCCTGCATTTCCTTGAAAGATCTCTGTAGTGCTTACAGTTAAGAAGACAAGTGACATAAGGAGAATTTAATTATTTTTTAAGTGCCTCATCTTGTCTCCAGGAAATGGCACGCAGAAAAGGCTTTGTACTTGAAACCAGCATTGTCCAGGATGCAGGGGATCAGATGGCTCTGTATTCCCAGCGATAAGGGCTCCTGCTGATAGAAAGGCCAGAGTGGCAACCTCCTTCCTTCAGGAAAGAACTAGCTTTGTGTCCAGAGCGGTGCTCTCAGAGGTGGCTGCTCCTGACCTTGGGGCCTGCAGGGAAGTGTTGGGCTTCTACAGAGCAGAGGGCAGAGGGCCAGCCACCACTGGAGCCCTGGTCCCAGGACCCTGGGGCTGTATAGCCAGGCTGGCTTTTCAGGGGACAGAAGAAGAATGTGAAGGGGAGGATGGAGCATGGACAGAACATCAGGAGGAAAGAGGATGCCCTAGGTGGCACACACCTCCCACACCACAGAGATGTCCCCTCCTCTATCCCTCTGTCAGCCTCTAGCTCTCATTAGGCCCTGGGATGGCAGCAGCCACTGCCAAATGCAAAGACTGTCACCTCAGAAGGTCACATCAGGCCATTTATTCTGAAAAACCAAAATACCAGAGCCAGCACATTGCAGGAGCTCCTGCAGAATTCCCCAGGGTACCTCTGTGTGTGTGTGTGTGTGTGTGTGTGTGTGTGTGTGTGTGTGTGTGTGTGCGCGCGCACCTGTGTGTGTGCCTGTGTGTGTATATGTGTGTGTTCATGTTCTTCGGTATCCCAAAGGGGTTCTTTCTTAATCAGCTCAACATCTGAGGACTGAGACTGATTTATTTTTTGGTTAATCTAGCATTTCTGGTAAAATAATTAAAAGTAATAGACACAGAGTATCTGTAGTATAATTATTTATAGCCATAAGGTCTCACTTCACAGTTATTCATAACTAACCTGAAAAGACTCAGACTGCTGGTAAGCAAGTGGGGGTCAGACAGTTCTAGAGTGAGCTGCTCCCATTTCACAGTCAAGGAGACTGAGCCAGGAAGAGAGGAATCTCAGTCACCCCTGGCACTGCCAGTGGCCACACTGGCTGCCATGTCTATCAGGAAACTCGGGGAGTAAAACACACTTGATCTTGACATGATGGGAGCTAGAGAAGGTGGGACTCTCTCTATCTCCTGCCGCTTGTGTGCAGCATGAGTCTCTGAGGACCCTGTGAGGAAAAAGGCTCACACCCAGCCCAGGATAAATACAGGCAAGTGGCAGGGGCCTGCAGCCAGTGGTAGAGGGCACGGGCATGTCCAGACTCACTTCCCCAAACAGATGGTGAGTCTACGATTCTAGGTCTCTGGGGTGGAATATTCAAAAGCCATGGCAGGGTTCACAGACTCCCCCAGGAGAGGAGCTGGGGATCTGGCCCTGCTTTCTAATTCAGATTATTTTCCAAAAAATGCATTGGGGACTTTGGGATGCTATAGAAGAGTGACAAAACTGCAAACATTAGAAATGAAACAAGGGCTCAAGCAATGAAGGTCTTCAAAAACTGGTTCCTGGGTGTCTGACAATGAATAAGACCACTTCAGAAAGCTGGGATGGGGAGGCATGGTGTAGGATGTAGGCACAGGAGGTAAAATCAGATGGCATGAAAACCAAGCTGTGCAGGAATCCTGGGCTTCAGGCGTCAGCCCACGGCAGCCTTATTCCGTCCCTGTTCAGTTTATAAATGACCTCTGATGAGTGGAAATTAGCACTTTTAAATGATACAACCAGATGGGCAGCCCTGAAAAAGGTTAGTCTCTGGACAGACTGGGGAGGCTTGTGACAGGGCCATTAATGGATCTTCCCTTCCTGCTTTGCCCCTCTGTCTTCTCTGATTTGAGTAGGTATCATTCTGTGCCTCTGGGGAAGTTTGAGAGAGGAATTCCTGGTATTTCTTTCCAAAAACTATCAGGTCACTTTGGGAAACAAAGGTTAGGGAGAGATAGAGCTCCCCAGCCTGACTAAAAGAGATTCCATCTGCAGGTCCCTGGGACAGGGCCTCCTGCAGGGACCTGGGGGAGAGAGTGGGCTAGGAGAGTGAAAGGAAGCTGGGACACAGCACATCCGCCACTGACTCAGCGCTGACAACCAGAGGCCTGGACTCCGGGCCTTGGGACAACCCAGAATAGGCCAAAAATGACCCACGGTGAATTTCTCACCATACCCATGGGATAGAGGCTCAGTGGTTTTGTTTTTGTTTTTGTTTTAGAAAAAGCTTCTTGACATCTAAGAAGTGACCACATATGATTTCTTGACTACCTGGGATCCCAACCTGCCATTTGCATATTTCTCAGTCACTCACAAGAGCCTCTGCAGGAGCCAGCTGTGTACCACCACCCAGACACCTGCTCCTGGGAACTGCCTTAGAATGGAAAGAAAGCACAGCACCTTGTACAGGCACCCACACAGCAACTGAAAGGATGAGCATGCATCTCATCATGGGCTACTTCTGGTCATGCCAGAGTCACACTGAAATTGCCTTTGCAAAAATTACAACAATGAGAAAATTGACAGTGAAAGAGAACTGACCTAACAGACTCCATCTTGCTTCTAACTTCCAAGCTGTCTTTGTTCAATCCTGGGTGTAGGCTGCACTAACTTTGGGAAGAACCCTGAAACAAAAATGAAAACAGCCGTTTGCCAAAAGAAACCCCCATCTTGCCTGGGGGCCAGACTGCCTTTGTAGGACTAACGAATTAGCCATAAGATTAAAAATGATGGTTTAGGAGTCATGCAGCTGGAGGCCACAAAATTCTAAACCTCCCCAGTTGCTCCTAGGGATAACATCACTACTGTGAAACCTAAGATTGGTGCTTGAGATATTTTTCAGATCCTACACTGGGTGGATCAGCTAGCGCCACCCAGATCGATAAACTGGCCCATCTGGTCTTGTGGCCCCCACCCAGGAACTGACTCAGAGGAAGAGGACAGCTTTGACTCCCCATGATCTCATCTCCAACCCTACCAATCAATACTTCCCACTCCCTGGCCCCCTACCCGCCAGATTATCCTTAAAAAAAAACCCAGTCTCTGAATTTTCGGGGAGACTGATTTGAGTAATAATAAAACTCCAGTCTTCCATTCAGCCACTCCGCGTGTATTAAACTCTTTATTGCAATTCCCCTGTCTTGATACATTGGCTCTGTCTAGGAAGCGGGCAACAAGAACCCGTTGGACAGTTACAAAATTCCCTGGACAGAGTCCAATATGCACATACCAAGTATGAGTAGATTAATAGGGTCTCTCTCTAAAATTTATGACTTTTTTTAATGAGAGAAATTATCTACTAAATGAGGAATAAAATAACAGTGTCATATACTTAAGGCATTGGTGGGATGCAAATGTTACAGAAAGACAAGCTATTTTCTAATGGTGTTTGTTGTATTTCTAGTACAGCACCAATACACTTACATGGGCCAGAGGCATTTTATTCAAAGCCTTTACATTTCCAATACCTTCCTTGAAAATTACCCTCAGGCCTACAATTCTTTTGCTTTTACTAAGCCCTAAACACCTGGACTATATTTAGTTTCTTAGAAATAAGAGACAAATTTGCTGATATTTTTAAAATTTTAGTCAGTTATTGTATGATTCTCCAAATGGCAAACAAATGATAGGGAGAGAAGAAATTAAAACATTTTTCAGCTACTTTTAAGTGGCATAGTATTTACCATTCAAATACAGTCTGAATTAAAACACTCAATTTGTTACAGGATTTTTCAGTTAGAAATTAGAGCTTTGCTGGATAATTGGGGGGGAGGCAGTAAAAGAATGAAATTAACGTTAAAAAGTCAAATTTAAAGAACTCTTTACTTGAGCTATTAATAGAAAGAATCAGCCCTTCTTGAAACTAAGAAAAAAGTCTAATAAATTTCCTTAAGCCAGGAGTGTAGCATGCCTTCTTCACTTCACTTGCACTGGGGCCCAGCGACCAGAGATTTCATTTCATCCCGCCCTCTTTGGAGATCCTGTCACTAGGTGAGTGGAGACATTTCCTAAGACCACGAGGAAAAGAGAACAAGGGCCTGATGGCCCAGAACCAGAACCTGCCTCTCCGAAGGCAATCTGCTCCACAGAATCTAAGGGTCGGGTAGTTCCCCAGACCAGGAGCCCTTAATACAGCTCTCTCCAATCTCTACACCTTTCCCAACTTCTCTGAATACATTCAAAGGAAGGGAGCCCACTCCTCTTGCTTTGGAAGAAAAGCTGACTCCCTCACCCATGCTGGGAAGATGCCTAGAGGCCTGAGCAGGAAGAAAACCTCTCCAAGGCTTCAGCATGTCCAAGGCAAAGAGCTGTCCCCATGATTACACGCTAGGAAAACCTACAGCACGGAACTCACTCAAAAACCAACTTTTTTCCCTATGATAGATGGAAGTCCCATCCGAATTCCTACTGTTGAAGAAACAATCTCTGCCCTGGCAAATGGCCTCCTAAACCAACGCCTCTGCAACCACCCAACACAGGGACTCTCCTCATCAGGGTGTGCTCCATCCAGTGAGGGGAGCCTCCTGTGCCCCACATGGTGCCTTCCAAGGGCAGGGGTGATGTCCCTCCGCAGTAGCTCCTGCCTTAGCACCTCCCTTACACAAACCCCCTGGGAGCTCTCCAAGGGTGAGGATCTAGGGATGAGCCAAGGGAGCTCTGGGAAGCGGGTGGGGAATTCCTGCTGTCAATTCAGGCAGTCTCTGGGTTTAACGGCATGGAAAAAGCAAGCAGTGGGCAGTTTCAGGAGGGATCCCATTCCATTCTTGTCCTGATGCTGCCACTTGGACAGCTTGGTTAGCTTGGGCCAAATTTTTCACCTCCTTAATGTCATCTGCATAAAAGTACTATCTTGTCTCCCTTGTGCAGTTGTGAGTATTAAATGAACTAATATATGTAAATGGAGTCTGTGAATTTGTAAAGCCCTATAGAAATGCTGGTGGCTGTTATTTAACATGCATGCATAGGCTTACATGGGTTAGGTCCATAAGCACACTCAAGAAGAAAATCATTTGACCATATTTACATGCAGCCAACCAAACCACGATCAACAGACTTGGTATTCTTCATCTAGCTCCCAAATGCCACCCATCAATAGGCTGCTTCAGAATCACATGCAACCCTGGTAAAAACAGTAATTCTAGAACCTTCTCCCAAACTCACAGAGGCATAATCTCTGTAGTAAGCCCAAAAATCTGCATGTTAATGGAGCTCACCAGGTGATTCTGACATGCAGCCAGGTTTCGGTACCACTGTGCTCCTTTGGACATGTCATATAAATTTGGACTTGTCATACAAAGTCACAGGGAATAAAACTGTTCTGGCGTTACCTAAGGAGTCTCTGTCTTTCTTCCTCTCTTCTCAGGTACATACACACTAAGATACAGAGCGACATACATACAAGGGAAAAACAGGAAGAAGAAAAATACTAACAAAAAAAAAAGAAGACACCTAATAGTAAGAGGTGTCAAGATTTTCTAAGTCTATAAAAATTCATGGTTCTAGAAGGATACAGAAAATGAGGAAAAGAAGGAACAAGATGTTAAGACAAAGAGCAACTGGTTCAAAACTAGAAAACCTCCTCTTTTGTGACTGCACAGTACAATGTCCTGACTTCTGCTACTAAACCACTCCCCACCTTAAAGTACCACTCATTTGTTGGTAATTCTGCCTCATCCTGCAACTTATGTGGCCCCCCACCCCCATGCCAAAGGACAGGGACACAGCGTGCTCATCATAGCAGCCCCCAAACCCAGCACAGAGCCTGGCATACAGCTGCCTGTGATAGATGTGTGCTGAGCACACGCCAGGATAAGAAGAGGCAGGAGAGGAGGAGGGACAAAGAGTGCACAAAGAAAGAAACAGGTCTCTTGTCCCAGATCCCTGGTGTAAACTAAGAATAAGCAAGCTTAAGGTAATGAGGGTCGAAGCAAAACAGAGAAAGTTCATGTCCCTGCAGGTATCATTAACTACATCACAGGGAGCAGAACCACCTAGGGAAAAAGAAGAAAAGCTCTCCAGATCTATGGGCAGGGGCTGAGTGAGAAAAGTGATCTGGTGCTATTAAAGGTGGTTTGAAGTCATCAATCTGGCCTCGCCACCTCACTGCCTGACCCTCTCCAAGAGTCCTCACACCCACAAGATTCTACCCCACCCAGCCCCTACACACCTCCCTAAACTTTATCCCTCCAACCTCCACATACTTTGTGCTCAAATTATGCCAAACTCACACAACGTGCTGTGTCATTCCTCTGAGCCTGTTTCATGCAGTTAACCTCTACCTGGAATGCCCTTTCTACCTACTGACAAACCTGTTTATCCTTCTCAGCTCAGCTCTGTTATGTCCTCCTCCTCCAGGGAGACCTCAGGCTCCCATGACACCCAGTGCACTGAACCCTCTTAGCCCTATGCACACCTCACATCCTGGTCCAATGATGAGTGAACTCCTCTCCCCCCAGAGAGTAAATTCTATCTCTCTCTACCCATAGCACCTAACACACTGCCTGAGCACACAATAGGTGCTAAATAAATGCTTGTTGAAATCGACAAAGCATTGGCAAGATTCCAGAACATAAGTGCTAGAAGACTTGGTTAAAAAGGGGAAACCGAGAGGCAACTTGATATACTGGAAACCCTGAGCGTGGAGGCTGGAGTTCAAACCAGTAGAACGACTTAAGGTACGTGACTTAAAGACCCTGAACCTGTTTTCCTGATCTATGAAACAAGCATATTACCACCCAACTCCTACAACTACTTATGAGGAAGGCACCTACTATGCACCTGGCACACAGTAGGCCCTCTGTACTGTACTTAACTGGTGAGACGCCACCTCCCGCCCACATCTTCCTGTTTTTCAGTCTCCCATTTCCGACCATAAGCTCCTCCAAGGCTTTTGCCCAGACCCCTAGACGACTGTTCTGGACCCAGTTTATAAAGACTGCCTGGCTGGCCAGGAAATCCCCCAGAGGCCTCCTTCCGTGTCCCCGGGCCAAATCTGTGAAGAGAAAACGGAAGGCTACCATGTCACGAAAAACTATGATCAAATAAATTATTATGCCTTTTCTCCTATTGATCTGCCTTTTGTCAACTGATTTTCAGTGAACCTTCGGAGAGCCATGGGGAAGTTTTCCCTTTCCCCCTACAGGGCTCTGAATCTGAAGGTAAGAGTGAGCCTATAGGGGGAACCTTCTGGCTCCCTCACAGGAACTGACTGAGCAGGAGTTGGAAAAGCCACTTGGATTCCCATTTCCTCAACTCCCCGCCAATACCAAGGCGTCTGTTTTTACAGGCTCTTTCGTGGTGTTCTGGGCACATTCAACTTCCAATGCAGCTGAGAGGGTCGGGAACAGTTAGAGAACAGGGGTGGCAGCCGCCCGGGAGGCTGCAAGGCGCTCGCCCGCAACGCACAGGCGCGCGCGGCGCACCCGGCCTCCGGCCTCCCCAGGTCGGGCCTGGCAGCTGCGGGAAGGAGGTCAGCGCAGCCGCCACACTTCGCCCGGGCGCTGGCCCGACCCGACCGCCGGCGACTCTCTGGCAGCGCCCGGAGACCGCCAGCCCCTGGGCCGCCCGTCCGCAGAGCCCCCTCCGCCCCGGGACCCTCGCGCGCAGCTCAAGTTGGGAGCCCCGCTCCGCAGGCGAGCGCGCGCCCACCACCCACACCCACTGCCACTCATGCACACCGCGGGTCCGGAGATGCCCCCGAGCGTTTTAAAATCCAGAAACATCACATGGTAGCCACATCCGGCGGCTGTTACCTGCTCGCAGCACCCAGACCCTCGCCCTGGTTTCCCGGGAGCCCGCAAACCCGGCACGCGGGCTGCGCGCCCTCCCGCAAGCCACCGCTCAGCGCCAGCGCGCCGGCAAGCCGCCTACCTTAGGGGTCTGCACTTCAGGTCCCGTCGGCACCTCCAACTTCCTCTTGGTTACCCAGAAGAACAGCAGCACCGTGATCCAGAGCACCCCGAAGACTGGCAGAACCAGCCGACGAGTCAGGCGCCGCATGGTCCCCTTTGCCGCTTCCTCTCCGCGGCGCTACGTCCCGGGGGCACCCCCCGGCGGTCAGGGTTGGCGGGGCAGGAGTCCTGGCGAGCGCCTCGCTCTGGGGAGCTCTAGACCCAGGATCCGGTTGGAGGGGCGGCAGGATCCTGCAAGGCGCCCTTCCCGCTTCGAAGAGAAGCGAGCCTGGGTGGGGGGTGCAGGGCGACCCGAAACGTGGCAGGGAAGGACCGAGGGCAGCCAAGCTGGACGCCCGCTCCAGCGGGAGAAGCGCGGTGGCTGCCGAGATGTTCCCCACGCCGCCACCGCGGCTGCCGCCGCCGCCGCCGCCGCCTTGCCCGCTGCCGCCGATAGGGAAACTGACTCGAGCAGCGAGAGGGAGGAATCCGAGGCTGTGCCAAGCACCCCGGGAGGAGCACGAGGGCGGAGGGAGTGAGCGGGGAGGGCGGGCCCGACAGACAGGCCGACTCGGAGCGAGCCCAGGTGGGAGTGAGCGGGGCTCTGAGAGGGGGCGCTACCGCCGCCCGCCGACCGAAACGCTCGGTGCTGTTGCGGGGCCGCCAGCGCCAAGCCCTGGGCGCAGCTCCCAGACCATCGTGGGTTGGGGCAAGGCGGGGCGGGGCGGGAGCGGTGCACTCGGGATGCCCGCCACCCCCAGCTGCCAGCTGGGACCCAAGGGCCGGCCCTCGCCAGGCGGCGCTGTGCCTGGGAGGACTTTCCCGCTCATCGCGGGGGCTGCACGTGGCGCTGAAGCCGGGGTCCCACCCCCAATGTGCTCGTCCTACCACAGCCAAGGCTGGGATTCCAGGGCGCCGGCAGGGCTGCTGCCCCAAACCCGCGGTTCACTTGCCTGGCTACTGAGGGCCAAGGCCGCGGTCAGCCAACTCCCCAGGGTGTTTCTATGCCTGCCTGCAGGTGCCTGGTAACTTTTTCTGCTTAACGGAAGGAAAGCTGAGCTGGTCTAATTTTAACTTTAAAGATATCCTTTAAAAAATTAAGGCGCAATTATCTCCCATAAAGGTTTTCTCTCCCTGTAAGCATCAGGGCTTTGTGCTTGCAAGAAAAGAGGTCCAAAGTTGGAACAACCACTTGGGATTCTTGGAAAGTGACCCTGGGCAGGAGGATACTGGGTGCAGAGGGTGATCTTTCAAAAGCCCCTTTTCCCAAGGGCCTTTGGGAATTGTATCCCCCTCCCACTTGCAGATTAAAACCGCTTGGATCTAGAAGCAAAGCAAATTCTAACTCCAATTCCCATGTAGGCTCAAGTAGGCTGGAATCACGGCCAGATCACTGACCAGAGAGTACTGACCTAGCTGTCACACTCACTGTGTGAGTCTTGGGTAAGTCATTTACCTTCTCCCAGTCTTCGATTCCTCATCTGTAAAATGGAGGGAAAATACCTCCTCTGACAAGCAAATGAGTAGTGGTGAAAGCTGAATGCAAGGTGCTGGTGTTATCTGACCACTCAAAGTGGGGAAACCTTGCTCTGTCTGGGGAGCAGAGGCAGCGGGAACCATGCCATTTTTGTTGGAGGGTTGCTTGCTTCATCGAGTTTCTTGGGGAGGTGAGAACGATGCACCCACTGTGGCAGCCACCATTCTCCCTGCCCCTCTCTCCCCATAAAGCTCAGTGTAGGGCAAGCTCCCATACCTCCGCACAGGTGAGACAGCTGTAAATCAGGGCTCTGGAATTCCTTCTTCAATAAGATGTCTCCCCAAAGACATGTACTGAGAAATGGAGGCGTCTACTCAAAGCCTCCTGTTTTTGGTACCTTATCTTTCAGCCACAGGGAAGTCCTGCCTCAACCTCAGAGAGTTCTTGACTGGACTGTAGATAAGATGTTTGGGGTTGGGAACCGCAGTTGAAATTAAACAGCCCAGAAAAGGTGAGCACTGTTGCCAGCCCTTTCAAGATCTACCTGCGCTCTTAGACCATCACACAGAACCCCAGGGTTGATCTAGCATTTGCCTTTATCAGAACTCTGAACACTGAAAGGTGGGAGTAGGCTCCCCAGCCAATGCTTTGTCCCAGCAAAGGCCCAGGTAGATGATCATCATGGGAGGGGTAGGGGGAGCAGCAAGAGAACTCACCTCTGCAGCATCCCAAGCACCTTGGACCTCTTTCAGGAGCCTCACCCGGGACCTGCAGTTTCGGGCCTGCAAAGCGTTCTGCTGCAGGCTCTGCAGGGGACCCCCAGGCAAGCTGCTGAGCTGCTGTTGGCTCCAGGCAGAAGCTGCAGCACAGGAGTCCATTGCTCAGCGCTTTGTAATGCCGCTTCTGAGTAACAGATGGCAGACAGTTACACAAGAACACCGCCAAGCTTTTGAGATGGTGCAGCACCACCACGCTGCTCACCACACTGCTGAGATGCTGAGGTGCCTCATTCTGACTGTTTGGCATATGGGGAAACTGAGGCCCTGGGGTGAAGGCAGCTCCGTGCAGGGACTGCAATGTCTCAGAGAGTGGGAATTTCCTTCCAGGAATGATTTTCTTCTCAAATCATTATTTTGTCCTCTACTCAAGTGAGGAAGATTTCCTGGGCCTATGGAAGCTGTCAAGGGAATCCAGTTTTGCTAGGTGTCATTAGCTGATCCATCCAGAGATCATATCAGATATCAGTTTGGGTTGTCAAACCAGTAAATATCATTAGGACTGAAGTAGATTTCAAGTGGGACTTCAAACATCTGGAAGTGAAGTGAGTGTCCATGCGGGGCCTAGTTCTGTAGGTCTCTCCAGGAACCCAGTCTATCCAGGGGTCCCCCATGCTCAGGAATATATTTGAAACGCTTTAATAACCAGCTTTAAGCCTGGGCAACATAGCGAGAGCTTGTCTCTAAACAACAACAACAACAACAAAATAGCCAGGCGAAGTGGCAGGTGTCTCTAGTCCCAGCCAATTGGGAGGCTAAGACAGGAGGATTACTTGAGCCCAGGATTTTGAGGCTGCAGCGAGCTATGATCTCACCACTGCACTCCAGCCTGGGTGATGGAGCGAGACCCTGTCTCAAAAAATGAATAAATAAAATAACAAGCTTAAGTAATGCAGAGTATGGTTGATCCCAGCGGGGGATTAGCTATCATTGGCGATTAATCCAAGTTACTTTTTTCTTATCACAGCCAATATGGGGAGGAAAAGCTCCTAGCAAAAGACTTAACATGGCAGGAAATGAAAAAAAATAAATACACTCTGAACTAGGACTCTCCTGGTTCTCCTGGATCTCCTAAAACAGATCTACCTCCTCAGTCTTGATATTGTTGAGCCAAGCTCCTCATTCCTCTGGGTCTGTGGTTTCCCATCGGCAATGTCATGTTCTCTCAAAGACCCTCCCAGCTGACGCATTTAGGGTTCTGACCTTTCTTGTCCTGGATCAGGACCTTCTTTACCACTCCTGTTGTTGGCGAGTTCTGTGTAAGCTGTTCTCTCCTCACAGCCGAAGACATTAGAGAGCAAATTGGGTACTGGAGCAGATGTGAGTCATTCATGTTAGTATAAAAACTATGGAATGAAACCCATTATGGCCCGGAAAGCAGTGTAAAGCAGCATATGGAGCAAATGCAAGCTGGAAGCAGGAGGAAGCTGTGAAGTCCGATGCATATGCTCTGTGGCGGCTTTTGCTGTGGATTCTCACACTTCGCTTCTCGTTTCCTGTAGCCGTCTCCCCATCATTCTCGCTCAGCCCACTGCAGAGGCTGCAGCCTTTGTTCCTTTTGGATCAGATTCTCTGAGTCCCTCCTCTCTGCCCACTGCATGACTTCAGGGAGGCTGTGTGTGCGCGAGTGGCTGTGTGTGTGCTTCTTGCCATCTGCACGCTTATTAGACCTGTCACAATCAGCGAGACACCCTCTGTGCCAACCTAACGAAATTTCACCCACAGAGGCCCAGACAGGTTTCTGTTGAGGTCTTTACCTCTTCTGGGCCATAGGGAAAGGTAAGCAGTAGCAGGGCAGATTGCAGCACAGTGAGAAGATGAGTCGCACACATGCTGGCCCAGCAGCAAAAAGAGCGGCAGTGAAAATTCAAAGATCTGTCTGTCTTTATTCCACAGTCATACAGATACAAGTCTTTGGGCTGACTCCTGCAGTTGACTCTGTTCAAGTTCTCCACTGTAAATAATACATCAGCTCCCCTTTCCTCTGTGTTCCTCTCCATTTTCCTTGCCACTATAGATCCTGTCAAAACCGCATGTCCTGGGTTTCCTGCAAGGCTTTCTTATAGAGTGAGTGATGGAATAGTTTAAACCACGTGGTGAATGAGGATGAGCTATTACCAACCCCTTACCTCATCTTTCTGCCACATCAGTGAATCTTTGTCAAAAGAATAAAGCCAGCTGGATTTTCCTCTCATCTTTGACGGGTAGATGGGTGGCTTTATCTAAGGGATCTGACAGTCACCTTTCTGGATCTTTCTCTTTCCATTAAACAACTCCTTTCACCAGCCCACTACCCTCAACTCCTCTCCCTCCTTTTATTCTTATATTCGATTCCTTGAAAGGGATCTATATCTTTGCATTTCAAAAGCCTGCTTCTTTTATTGTTTGAAATGCCCCAAACTTTCTTTGTTTCTCACCCAAATGCCAAGTGTAAAACTTAATACTGCTACAATGATATGTCTTTGCTGGTTGTGTAAAGTGGTTTGATCTTCAGTGATGGTGCCCTGTGGTGATCTGAGAAATTTCCCCCACCCCCCCCCCAGCCCCTATAGAATATGCAAAGTTCTAGCATGAAGGTGTGACCCAGTTTGCCTAAAGAAAAGTAAAAGAGACCTGCACAGTGGCTCACGCCTGTAATCCCAGCACTTTGGGAGGCCGAGGCGGGCAGATCACTTGAGGTCAGGAGTTTGAGACCAGCCTGACCAACATGGCGAAACCCCGTCTCTTTTAAAAAATACCAAAATTAGCCGGGCATGGTGGCAGGCACCTGTAATCCAGCTACTCGGGAGGCTGTGGCAGGAGGATGGCTTGAATCCGGGAAGCGGAGGTTGCAGTGAGCTGAAATCACGCCATTGCACTCCAGCCTGTGCAACAAGAGCAAAACTCCATCATCAAAAAAAAAAAAAAATAGAAAAGAAAGAAAAAGAAAATTATTTCCCTTGAATTATCTAGAGGAGACTCTGACAGAGGGCAGCACAGGCAGAAGAAATAGAAGGATCTAAGGACAGATGTCACTCCCCAGGTCCCCAATTTCAGACAACCAAATCTGAGAGCCACTTGCATTATCTCTGACAAAGACAGTCTTTCCTGTTAGGCTTAAGCTTAGAGGCATCAGTGAAAGGTAGAAGTGGGCAGGAGAGCTCAAATCCAAGAAGGAATAGAACTGTGATGGGGCCTCTCCAGTCTGGCTAGGACTTCAGCAGCAAGAGGAGCCAAGCATACCCCAGGAGTGGACCTGGGACAATCCAGTATAATCTCTAGTGACCGACAGCAGATTTTGTCATCAAGTCACTACCAGATATTGCACATTGAGCAGGGTGGCTTTATGCCCCAGTTTGCTTGGGAAATTCCTGGTTTATTCTGATTTTTCTGGCATAATTATTATACTGCCTCATTTTACTTTCAAGAAATTTCTATTTTAGACAATAAATTAGAGGCCACTCTAATCAACAGGAGGACTTCTGGTGATGGTTCTAGAAGGAAGATTGCTTTTCTTAGATGAGTAAAAATGTGGGTTTGCTATTTAAGTTGTTTTGTATGTGTGCTGAACTTGGGATACTCTGTTCATGTGGGGCATTATTCTAAGTAAACAATAGTCAAGATGCTTATCCAAAGAAGAGACAATTTGGACAAATGAAGCCAGCTTTAAGTAACTAAGGAAGTAATTAGGTTGCGCATATCAGTCAATGACAGTCTTATCCTATCCACCCAACTGAAGATGTTTTACCCACTTTGCAGCTCATGGAAGCAGCCAGATAGCAGCACACTGTCTCTTTGAAGGGCAAGGGATTCCTGACACCAGACTCCAATCATTCTTCCAACAACCTCCTCCTCTCACCCACATACCTACATGGGCCATGAAAGTAACATGAATGAGTGAAATGAGATAGGGTTGGGGGAAAAATAGCATAAACACAATGACAACAATGAAACTGCTATTCAACCTTCATATTGAGGACACAGTAGGGAGTAGCGGGGCCCACACTGGACTAGCAAGGAATCAGCTCCAACTCATCATTGCCAGTGCCAGTAAAGTGTTGCCAGAGTTTTCCAGCCTCAACAAAAGCATAAGTCCAGATGACGATGTGAAACCTCCTGGATTTTAACTGTTATCGATTAATTCAATCACCCCCACCACCAGCCCACCAAAACATTGGATGGGCTAAATAAACAGGTCTGCAGTCTGAATCCAGCCTGCTGCTTGCCAGCTTGCAACCTCTACTCCAGCCACCAGTGTTTCCATAAGTACTGAAGTTTTCCTGGTTTCCATCTTCTAATGTGGGAACAGATCTACCAAGCTAGGACAAAGGGTAAAGAGTACACCAGATTATATTAGGAGGGGCCTTAGACTCTAATGTAGTTCAATACTCCTCATTTTGTGATTGAGAAAAGTGGAGCCCAGAGAAATTGCACGAACTGCCTACAGCAAGATGAGTTCATTGGTAAACTGTGGGCTATAACATATCTGCATTACCCAACATTGCTCCCAAGTGACATCCCTCACTAGGTTTCACAGGACAAGTGAATCAGGGAGCTGAGGCATTTCTACGGTGGGATGGGGAGGCTGCTAAGCCCAGAAGTTTCTAGGTAATGAGCAAAACAATGAACAAAGACACTGTGACCAAGACTCTGGGCAATTTGCTGTGAGGAATACAAATAAATAAGGCCTGTTCCAGCTCTTCTAGAAAATGTAAGCTGGTGATTTGAATAAAGCCTTGAGTGTTAAAAGATCTAGTCCTTCCTCTTGGGTTTCTGTTGAGTAATGTTGAGTCCTAGATAGAGGCGCTTCAGTCCACCTGAGAAATAGCTACATTGCAACAGGAAAGTCGTTTTTGCAGCTCTGCACTGCACCTGTCTTCAGTTTCCCTCTCTAAGTGCTGTGCAAATGTTAATTAAACATAGATTATTTGAGAAGTGCTTTCAGCATTTGAACTCAACTGGGCTGCGTCAGATGATGATATTAATATCATTCCCCTGTTGGCAGAATGCTGTTTTTTAAAAGAAAAACTCTTTTCCTTTTACAGTTTTTGCCACACAGACAATTTATTTTGCCCATCCTCTGGCTATTTCACCTTTTGTGTCATCATTTTCATGAGACAAGTGAAAATAATATTTCTCTTATGCTCCAAAGAGCCAAATCCCTTTTTCTAGCTTGATCCGAAGAAGGCCAGTTGGAGCAGTAATGGGAAAACGCCTGATGTACAGTCCAAGTGCAAATCCTCAGGGAGAAATAATGCATCTCTTTGGGGAAAAAAATAGCTTATACTTATGAGGTAGGAGATTTTCAATTTATAAAGGTTTCCTATTTCTTTCAATTGCCAGGATAACTGCATTCCAGAAAGGTTGGGCTTCTGCCATGTAAGGCAGAACTGCTCTCTTACATCTGGGATGTAGATTTAAAAATGATGAGTGACAAGCATCCCTCTCCATGCCCTGGACCACTGCCCTGGGGATTGTAAAGCAGATCAGATCAAAGGGTTAAAATCCATTACCCAGAGAGATGGAGAAGTTCCTCTCAGTGATTTCTTCCCCCATCACTGCTCTCAGGCCTGAATTCCAAATTGATTTCCTTAATAACTATTAAAGATCTTTTTAATTAAACCAGGCATCCTCTTCCTTAGCAAACTTTTCTTGATGACATCTCTGGTTAATTAAAGGTTTAAGCTGCAAAGACATATTACATAAGAACAAGGGAAGCTGCTTTATGGTGTGCCGGTGAAGGATCCTGCTGATTCCTACTGCAGAAACCAAGGCCGTGCCAGAGAGCTGCTCTTGTTTTCCTTTACAGCATTTCCTTTCTTTTAGAGGCCCCAGAAAGTGTTAATAACAAAAATGGTTTGGTGAGTGGGGGTTCATTTTTCTGTTTCCTGAGGTTCAATTTCTCCTTTCATGCTTGCCTGGTAAGTGTTCATCAAGTGTTTTTCATTAAAAACATCACTCATTTTTATCACGATTCACTGATGCTGACAAAACATTTTTACCTTTTCATCCAAAATTCCTGAGGTAGTTGATACATTTGGTAATGAAAGAACAACGAATAAAAACCTCTTTTCACCCATCAATAATATGCAGCCACCTCTGTAACAGAATATACCAAATTCTAACAAGAAGGAAAAATCATATTTTTATATATATATGATTTTGTGCATACATATATGACTTTGTGCATATATGTATATATATATATGTTGTTGTCATTGTTGTAAATTGCCCTAATTCCTTTTCTTTTTCCTAAAACCTTTTTCTTTTTCCTGGTTCATTTTTTTTCTACCAGGACCCGTATTTTAAAATGGTAGAACAGAGTATGGTGTAGAGAATGTAACTATGGAATGGAACTTTTCTCCATGAAAAGCTAAATATCTCTTAAATTGGGAACCAAACCCATGACCTTGACTTTGTTGTCATCATAGTTTAAAACACTGGGTCTCAAACCTAGATATACATTAGAATTATCTCTTGTTATTGCTAAGAGTCACATGCCACTGCCTCACCCTAAGCCTGCTGAAATTTTATGGATGATGTCTCTAGGCACCCAAGTTTGGGAACCACTGATCTAATCAATACCTTCAAGTCCAATCAGTTCCACCTGTAGGCCTCCCTGGAAATGGGAAAGATGGCGTACCGTTTCAATATTTCAGTGCAACAGACAAATCAGACTGTCAAAACAAAGCAAAGGAAAATAGAACCTTACCAGTATTGCAGAGGAAAAGCGGCTCCAATTCTGATGAGACATCAAGGAGGAAATTTAAAAGATTTTCTCTTATTTTCTTCTTAAACTGGAACCAGGAGCATAGATAATCCCATGTCATAATTAGTCACATGGAGAGTCCACTCACAGACTGTCACTGGTCACGTGTTCTATAGCTCTACATCAGTGGTTCTCAAAACAGAGAGAATCAGTATCACTGGAAGAATTTATTTTACAGGCCACTTTATTATAAAAATTTTCAAACATATGGAAAAATAGAACAATAGTATATTCGACACCCACACATGTAATATACCTAGATTCAAAAACAGTTAATGTTTTGCCATATATATGTACGTGCCCACATATGCATGGGTTTATAATTGCTGAACCACTGAAAGGTAAATTACAGATGTCATAATATATAACACTTAAATAATAACCCTAAACAACCCAGAAGTACTTCAGCATGCATTCCCCAAATTAATAACATCTACCAACATAACCACAGCACCATTATCACACCTAAATGAATGTAAAATAATGTCCTATTATCATATAACACCAATTTTTAAGAAACTTAAAAAGAGAAAAAAATAAAAAATAAAACAGCAAAGTTTCCAGGGCCAGATTCCTAAAATCTTACATGCAGTTAGGTGATGCTTCACAAAATGCTACTGTACATGACTAACTAATGAAGAATGCTTGTCTTTCCAGTAACTGAAAAGAAGTTCATTTTTTTTTGTACTTGAAAATTGCTTGGCTATTTACGTGGTACTTAACAGTCACAATTTTATTGGATGCTCTTAGCGATGCTACCCTAAGGGAGATAGAGTGATGATAAAACTGGGCTCCAGGGTTATTGAGACCAGCCCAGGTTTTCCAGGTAGCTAACAGTGGCGGCTGGATTCCAACACTGGCGTAATGGAAGCAACACTAGGCTGGGAGTCTGAAACCGGAATTCTGGTTTTCTCTGTGCTCCTAACTCTGCCTATGTGATTTGGGGCATTGGAGCAAACCTCTCTGGACTTTCATGTCTTCTTCTGACAAGTGAAGAACTAAATCAATGGTCTCCAAGAGACTTTCTATTTGGATCTTTCTTTCATTCAATACATTTCTGACTTCTTTACTAAAACTCTGCATTCATCTCAATTTGGCCCCGTAGCAAATTTATACAGGGGCTTATTGAGTCATAAAGGAAATACCCAACATTAGAATATTGGTGAGAAAGACATGAATTTGACAAAAGTCTTACCACTTGCTATGGCCAAGTACAGCAGAATGCTGAGCGTCTGCCTGTGATGCATGCTGTCTTAAGGCAGCTCATTAGAGAAAAGAGTGAGTCCCTACAGAGATACAGGAGCCCAGGTCTCCTCTTCCTCACTCCTTTAAAAGAAAACTGCAAAAATGGAAGAGCACATCCCTGGCAAAGTCAACAACTCCTAAATGTAAAGGATAAGTTCCATTAACTACTCCCATTTCATTTCACAGGTGATCCCTGCTTCCCCAGCCCTCCCTGTATTACAAGAGTTCAGTGTTTCCCCAAACCTTTACCAGGTCCATTTACATCTCCCAGCACTGGTCCACCACAGACCCAGGGGCTGGTGGGTGAGGACCAGAGCTATTTAAAATTCTTCACTGGGGGAGACTTTCATTTCAGATGTATTGTGTGAATTTTTTTACAACCAGAACATAGTCAGGCATTCCTTTGTGATTAAAAATAAATAATTAAAACCCTTGACAGCTGATGGGCTTTTCTTTGGACTCTCAAAGACAAAGTAATCTCCAGGGTGCAGCAAATGACACTGCAGTTTTCACTAGTGTGTTGGATGTGTGTGTGTGTGACAGAGAGACACACACACACACACGCAGACAGAGAGAGAGAATTCGGGGCAGAGAGGTGGTATGAGATCCCATTTATAGAAACTGAATGGAAATGGCCCATTGATGCTAATACAACAACAATAATAATGTTTAAGCCCTTAGATTTAGATCATGGGTACACTAAGAGGCAATATGAAAACTAAGGTTAGAAAATCATGGTAGAAACTGGGCCAGTAGTGGAAGGTGTGAGAGAAAGATGTAAAGAACCAACTGTCCTACTTCATATTATCTCTCTCTCTCCTTTCTCTATGTATCTCTCCTTTCTCCTGGCCTCCCATGACCTCTTTTATAATATCGTCTCTCCCTACCAGACATCGAACCCCCTCATAACTTCACTCATGACACGCCCCTGCCACAGGTTCTCTGAAAAAATAATGGTGCTCATTGAACAGGTTCTTTCTTCAAAAGTCCTCTTTTCTCATTAGGAAGTTCACCATCACCAGCTGACTGTCTTTGTCCTTTAGGGATAGAATTTGCCAGCAGTCAAGGTGACCACCTGAGACAAAGCCCAGCAGTGACAGAGGGGAGTTAAGATCCAGAGCTTTCTCTCCACAAAGGAGTCACACTCCCTAGGAAGGAACCCTCATCATGGAGAGCAGATCAGGTTGTGACCTTACAGATCACCTGGCTGATGCCCTGATTCTCCAGCCTGCCCTCAGGAGGTCTCTGGTTGGTCTGGCTTCAGTGACATCTCCCCACTCCCACGCAGGATCAGCTGAGATGGTCACTGTCCCTCAAAACAATGGAGCTGGAAAGGACACGTTTAAAAACCTCAGGACTGAATAAAAGGCATTCAGAACGATGAAGGTAAAGAGGCGCCAGGCAACGCCAGACAAAAAGGCGGTGCTGAACACAGTGTGGAGTCAGCTCAGCTCATAAGGGCTGGAGTCAGAGGCTAGAGTTCTGATCCCAACTCTGCTATCAACTGACAGCAGACTTTTGCCAAACGACTGAATCTTTCTGGCCCCAGTTTCCCCAGTTTGGAGTTGGCCAGAGAGACCTCATTTTCTACCCTGGGATTTGCTACTTATTAATTGTGTGACTTGAACATATTATGTAACCTTTCTAGTCTCAGTTTCATCATCTGGTATTAAAAGTATCTTTTTGCAGGGTTGTTGTCAGCCTTTAGAGATAATGTATACAAAGCACCTGGTACCGAAGGTAATCAATATACTAGTCATCCATTACTGTTGCTCAGGACT
Source organism: Homo sapiens (assembly GCF_000001405.40). NCBI lineage: Eukaryota > Metazoa > Chordata > Mammalia > Primates > Hominidae > Homo > Homo sapiens. The sequence continues at coordinate 31,150,005 of NC_000002.12, forward strand.
ATGTGATGAAGATGAAGCTATCACTTGCAGGGCAACCATCATGTCTTTTGCACCTTTATAGCCTCACATCTTAGTGACAATGTTGGGCATATTGAAAATGCTCAACACTATGGTTTTTCAATAAGGTCTTAAAAAGTGAGCATCGCCTTCTACTTTGGCACCCCTGCAAGAGGAAATATGAAGTGGGCTCTGGAAATAGAGTACCAACCCCACCCCTCACTGACTATGTCACTGCTGCAGCTCTGGTGGGCATGTGACTTTTGTTTGGCTGCCTCTATCTGAGCCACTTTCTATCTTGGGGGAATTCCCCCACTTTGATGAGAGACTGAAACAGCCTTTGCCAACAGAGTTGAAAAATACCAGCTACTTCGTTTCCTAGCCTCCCTTGCAGCTAAAGCCCGGATTTACACTCTGCCAATCAAGCCTCCGCACCAAACTTTTTACCTTAGAGCTGGTGAGACAAAAGAGAAGTGAGACTAGTGACAGAGTAAAGGTCTAATTCCTGGTGCAAAAGAAGCACAGTGCTGGCAGCAAGAGCAGAAGCAGTCCAGTGGAGTTCCTGAATAGAAGTGGCAGTGGTGCAGATACTGGCATGCAGTTCTCTGTGAGAGTAGCTGTGGTTCCCTCGTCACACCAGTTTTGCAGTCCGGTGTTAGGATCCCCTCTGGAAGCTTAGCCCTGGTTCTCTGTGAGCACCCCAAAATCTTTTTAACATTCTGTTCCTGCTTTATCAGCCAGACAAATCTTCAATTGCTTGCAAATCAGCATTTTTTTTTCAAGACGGAGTCTCGCTCTGTCACCCAGGCTGGGGTGCAGTGGGGTGATCTCAGCTCACTGCAACCTCTGCCTCCCAGGTTCAAGCAATTCTTCTCCCTCAGCCTCCTGAGTAGCTGGGATTACAGGTGCGTGCCACCACGCCCGGCTAATTTTTGTATTTTTAGTAGAGACAGGGTTTCATCATGTTGACCAGGCTGGTCTCAAACTCCTGACCTCATGATCCGCCCACCTCAGCCTCCCAAAGTGCTGGGATTACAGGCGTGAGCCACCGCGCCCAGCTGCAAAATCAGCATTTTTTTTTTTTTATTCATCAAGGTACCGAATCTCTCTGAAGCTCAGTTTCCTCATCTTTAGAAAGGGGTAAATTCTTTGGGCATAGGAGATAACGTATGTCAAGTGTCTGGCACCAGGGTACTCAATACATATTATTTCCCTTGAACGCAAGCGCAGCAGCAGTCAGAACCCTCAGCTACACTGCTGCATATATTCCTTGCTGACATTTGAGTACTTGTGTGCCTCAAGGATCCATGTAATTCTAAAGAGTTCCCATTTTATTGGTTGGTTTTTTAGCTATAGTGAGATCAGAAGGCCAGAAAGAGATCAGACCCCAGGTTTACATGTAGAATCATTCAGAAACATCAAGGAGTAATCTGTATAAACTGAATCCAAGAGGGGGACCAGCTCTGGCCCTCAATTCAAAAAATCACAGCTCACATCTCCACGTTTCCCTGAACCCTCCAGCCAAAACGGAATGACCCTGGCACAAATAAACGCTCTTTTAATGCTTTCAAGAATATAATTCTTTACAGTTTCGAGATTTGCTAACACTGGCATAAGAAACAGCTGCAGAGTTATTATCTCTTGGCATCTCTTTAGCTCCCAGACTGGGTTTTGCCCTTGTGAAGGCCCCTGTGCTTCAAGGACATTGCCATCAGGTGGTGGTGAAGAGCCACACTCTCTGACTAGGGAGCCCGGGCCGGAATTCTAGGTAGCTCATAGCTAACTGCTGTAGACTCACCTTCTGGGTTTAGAAATGGAATCTGTTAGCTGCAAAAAAGGAAAAACCCTCAAATTTATGCTAAAAGAGACAATTCATTAGATGTATGACAGAGTATCTTATAGTACCCAAGGGTGGTAGGATGGCCAGATCTTGAGATTCCCGTCTCCATTTCTCTAGGACTACGTGAAGCTTGTCCCTGATCCTCTCAGCCACCCACTTCGCTCTTTCCCCTGGATGTCCACATGGATTACTCTCCTCTTTCACCTTCCTGCCCTCTGTATCTGAAATAGCAGCTTCTCAATCTCCTCAATCTCTATTGCCTTAGCAGCTTTATTTTCCTTCATAGCACTTATTACTGCCTGACATATAATATGTTTATTTATTTCTTGTCTCTCCTTTGCCTCACTGGCATGTAAATTCCATGAGGAAAGGAACTTTGTTCTATTCACTGTTGTATCATCTGCGCCCAGAAGAGGGTATAGCTTACAGAAGGGACTCAGTAAAACTTTTGAATAAGGAATAATGAATGAATGAATGAATGAACGAATGAATTCTCCTTCTCTCTAGTCCTGTTCTCTGTTTCTGGGTTCTCATGAAAAAAAAAAAAAAAAACAAAAACAACAAAACAGCGCATAACACCAAGTCACTGTGACTTCCTTTCTCATCTTATCCAAGCTTTCAATACTAACTAATTTACTTTCTTAGAGTAAAATCTTGAAGACAGAAAGTATCTGATTAGCTTAGTGCAGCCTACAAAAGAGTTCCTTTGGAGTGCACCAGAAAGCTTATGTTTCAGGAATAGGGCTCAAAGCACTTTTTTGTGCTTTGACAGCCAGGACTGTGGGAAAAAATAATTTGCATCCTTAAGTAAAAAACCATTATGTACTTTTTTGTATAAAATAAACTTAAGAAACCATCAATAATCTTTGTAGAACTTGGACAATCACAAATTATTTTTGTTATAACACACATATACACACAATTAAACCAAAAAAATTACACAAAACATACATGTCTGTGTCTTTCTTCCTGAATTCCCAACTGTTTTCATCAAAGCCCTTCTAAGTGGATCTTTTCAGGATCCCTGATTAGAAGACTAGCCTCTACATGGGGTCTGAACCCTGACTCTGCAATTGAACCTCACCTGTGATTGACTCTTGATACTGTGGTTTCCTTTTCTCCAAAGGCAGCATTCCAATATTTAGCTGTTGGTCTTCTGGTTGATTATGAGATGAACTATTTTCATCCATCACTGCCCCCACACCCATTATCTGTGTTTTTTTCCAGTGAGCTTTAAACTGAGACAAAGCTTCTACTTGGCTGTAAAACTCTGCGTTTCTCTTTGACCCATTCCTCACCAAGAAGCAAATTATTCTAATCAGTTTTCTCTTCCGTTAAGCTAAGGTTGGGTGCAATCACTGTTGCATTAATTAATTAACAGACTCTTGGTCTGGTTGCCCTGGCAATGCCCACCAAAGCAGCAGAACCTTTCCAACAGGAGAGCACATCAAGCAGTCAATGAACTGTTTTCTTCACATGTAGAAGCCAAGCGCACAGAGCACCTGCTACAGAAATGGGCTCCCAGGGGATGCTCAGGAAACACTTGCTGAGCAACATGTAGGCCAGTGATGTGGGTGCTGAGTCTGCAGCCTTGAACATCGGAAGGCGTTTAGAGCTGGTGGCTGACACTGTCCAAGGGGAATAGGAGCCAGTGTGATTTTACAAGAGCCTCAGTGTGGTACCAATCCCTTACAAATCATCTAGAAAAGCACGGAAAGAGGGCCTACAAGCCCTTAGGTAAGGCCAGGCTGCCATGGGGAGGAAAACCAAACCAATTCATTTCCTGGTCATTTCCACTACCACTTCCCAAGGTCACAAAGAAGAGTCTCCACTTGGGACCTTGGTGTTGGGGGCTCCACCATAGCATTGTTCCTCTGTTGCAGGGCATTAGCCTGACTCACACTAGGTCAGATGTCCAATCAGGAGAATCTCCCTGAGTCAAGTGTGAGAAATAGAGAATGCCACTGTATACATACACACAAGAACTAACTTTCAGCTTACTTACAGATGAGCGCGATATTTCCAGCTCATTTCTTCCAAGGCTGTGTTCTTGGTTCCTTTGGGAAAGTTGGGTCTTCTCAGGCACATCCCCAATTCATGTTAAAATGGTTTGCCCCATTGCATGTTCAACCACCAATTGCTTCTCAAATTTCTTTTGCATGTAGAGAACAGAGAGAGATACACTTAAGCTAAGCTAGCCCACTTAAAGGAGAGTTTATTGAACAGATACAGAACTCAGTTACTTGACCCAGCCAGGCAGGCCTCTTGGAAACAGAATCCAAGAAACTGGCAGGCACAGGGCCCAAGCTGCTGTTCTGCCTGATGCAAACAGTCCTGCATCTCTGCCTCTCTCTGACCTGGGCTATCTTCTCTCTGCAGATCTGCTTCCTCACCCCTCGTTTCTGCTCCCATAACTTCAGCTTGGGCTTGCCTTAGAGCCAATTCTGGCCCCATTTCTATATACACCTTAGGCTCAGGTTCTGATAAATAACTCTCCTAGTTCCTCGCTATTCCGATTTCAGATTTTAAGAGAAGAATCTGGGTGGCTCACTTCTGCTCAGGAAACTGCTCTAGACCAGGCAATCGCATGAGAAATAAGGGACAAGAGCACATTGCCGTTATGACTGCCTTGGACAATCTCCTTAATTGGGGCTGCCGGCAATTGCCTGAGAAGGAAGCTTGGTTGTAGGCTCAAGAACCCCTACCTATGTCAATGGCAGCTTCTGGGATTAGAATCTCTTGATTTTTTTTTTTTTTTTTTTTTTTTTTGAGATGGAGTTTCACTCCTGTTGCCCAGGCTAGAGTGCAATGGTGCGATCTGGGCTCACTGCAACCTCCGCCTCCCAGGTTCAAGCTAATCTCATGCCTCAGCCTCCTGAGTAGCTGGGATTACAGGCATGCACCACCACGCTTGGCTAATTTTTGTATTATTAGTACAGACAGGGTTTCTCCATGTTGGTCAGGCTGGTCTCGAACTCCCGACCTCAGGTGATCAGCCCACCTCAGCCTCCCAAAGTGCTAGGATTACAGGTGTGAGCCACCACGCCCAGCCATTCTCTTGACCCTTTTTATTTCCTGTAGTCTCTGGGTACTGCTGCCCTTCATTCAATCCTTCTTGTTCCGTGTTTTCTTTTCACCTTTTGAACATCCTTTTCCAGAATGTGTTCTTTATTTTCCCATCACCTCCCCCCTCCAATCCAGATCTACTTACGTTCTACTGTTAGATTTCAGTGTTGAATGGAGGGTATGTGATCTCAATTGAGAAACTCTACATCTCTCACCCCATCCTTTCCTCCACATTCCACTTACCTAATCACAGCAGTCACCATCTCGCTCTCTGAAACACTGTGTCTTCAAAATTCTCATCGACATAGTACTCTAGAGCCATCTGTTTCCTGAAGTCTGTTCCAGAAGTCATTTTTCAGCAAAATTTACTTTCTTAGAATATTTTAGGACCTAAATTTAAGGAAGATAGTTGTATTGCAATTGATCAGTATAGTTCCTGAGTCCAAGTTAAGCCATGAACTAGTGTTCACAAAATTTTCAATTCTGACTTATTAACTAGAGACCAGTTGCCTAATTCTGATTCCCAGGACATAATGAAACCAGATGCTTTCTGAGTGGGTCCAAAATGAGAGCCCCAACTCAAAGTAAAAACTGCGCATTCTTTATCCATCATTCACCAAATGTTTATTTATTCATTCACCAAATGTTTACTCAGCAACTGGTATGTGTTAAGTCTTACCAGCTAAGGTGAAGAAGACAGAGTGAACAAAACAGAAAAAGGCTTGCTCTTATGGAGATAAACATTAATGAAGTATCTGTATTACTGATCTCAATCCAGAGACCCTACACCTCTCACCCCACCCACCCCTTCATACTCCACTTACCTAGTCACAGCACTCACCCTCTTGCTCACTGGAAAATATTTGTCTCCCAACCTCACAGTGACATAGTACTTTATACCCATCTGTCTACTGAGCTCAAGAGGAGACTTTCCTGAGCAAGTGAGATTTGTACTCAGTGCTGAAAACAAAGGTAGCTAGTCTAGCAGCTGGGATGGGAAGAGAAATCCAGGCATATGCAAAGGCCCAGTGGCCAGAGGAGGCATGTTGCATTCAAGAAATTGCAAGGAGACCTGAGTGACAGGCCATAACACAAGATGAGACTGGAGAAGCAGGGGAGGCAGCCAGACCCAACAGAGCTCTCAAGGTCATGTTAGGAGCTCTAGGCTTTACCCTAATAGCACAGAGATGCAGTGCTGTTGAAGGGTTTTAAGTGGGAGTGCAGGCGAGTAAGGAGTACAGAAGCAAGATGTTATCACACTCCTGTGTTCAAAAGCCCCCTTTGGCCACAAAAAAGAGAGCAATTTTCTTTTTTTTTGAGACGGAGTCTTGCTCTGTCGCCCAGGCTGGAGTGCAGAGGCACGATCTTGGCTCACTGCAAACTCCGCCTCCCAGGTTCGCGCCATTCTCCTGCCTCAGCCTCCCAAGTAGCTGGGACCACAGGTGCCCGCCACCACGCCCAGCTAATTTTTGTGTTTTTAGTAGAGACGGGGTTTCATCGTGTTAGCCAGGATGGTCTCGATCTCCTGACCTTGTGATCCGCCTGCCTCGGCCTCCCAGAGTGCTAGGATTACAGGCATGAGCCACCGCGCCCAGCCAAAAGAGAGCAGTTTTCTAGAAGGGTCTAGATTGGTGTAGACAGGCCAAGAAGAGACTAGCTTTTTGGTTAATAAAAGCAAGATAATGGAGCCGGGACTGGAACAATTGTGGCTGAGATGGGAGAAGGGCATGGATTTGTGAGATATTACAGGTAAAACCATCAAAACTTCTAAGCTGCTGAGAGAGCAAAGGCACATAGGTAAGAAATGATAGAATTAACCCACTTTAAATGACATAGAGAAACTGGTTGAAGCAGAGGGCAGTGTTAGCTTTAACTGGGGAAGGCTTCATAGAGAACATGGCATTTGAACTGAGACTTGCTGAAAGATAGACTTGGACATGCTGGAATGCAGGGAGGGAATGGGAGTTTTGAACTTCCCTTGGGAATATGTGTGAAGGTTCAGATGATAGGCTGTTGCAGTAGTGTACTTTATACATAGCCCTCTAATTGCCATGAGGGGTAAAACTTGAAAAAATACATCAGGTAATACTGAAAGTGTACAGAGGTACTCATTTGGTATCTGCCAATGTGTGTTGGTTACCTCTTTTGCCACAGGCATTGTGAGTACACACAAGTTGACACCACACAGGCCATGCCCTAAAAATGCTTATGGTCCAAGCTCATTGCTTTCGCAGCCCATGAAACAGTCTCTAAAAGCAGAATTTGAAAACCACTAGCATCAATGACACCTAGGAAGCTTGTTCAAAGTACAGATTCCCCGACTTCTCCCAAGACCAACTGAATGTGGCTCTGTAGACCAAAGGCCCAGAGTCTTCCTTTAAAGAAAACTCATAGGGGGTGCACATGCCTCCTCAAGCTTGAAAACGAGAGTGACAGAGAAAGAAACAAGTATTTTAAGAACAACCATGTTCAATATGTGACATTTACATATTATTTTAATTCTCCCAATGATATACCATATTTATAGTATTATTATCATTATTATTATTATTATTATTATTATTATTATTTTGAGACAGGGTGTCAATCTGTTGCCCAGGCTGAAGCTCAATAATACAATCATGGGTCACTGCAGCCTCTATCTTCTGGACTTGAGCCATCCTACTGCCTCAGCCACTCAAGTAGCTGAGACTACAGCCACATGCCACCATGCCTGGCTAAGATTTTTTTATTTTTAGTAGAGACAAGGTATTGCTATGTTGCCCAGGATGGTCTCAAACTCCTGAACTCAGATGATTCTCCCACTTCAGTCTCCCAAAGTGCTGGGATTACAGGTGTGAAGCACCATACCCTGCCTCATGATTATGTTATTATTTTTATTTGACAGATCAGAAAACCTTGATACAGAGAAGTTAAGGGATTTACCTAATGATATAGCTCAAATATTTTAGAGATTTTGAAGGTAAGATCTCCTCTCTCACAAAAACAACTGAGAGCAGACCACTATCCTTTAGTTCACCGAGAGAACAACATTGGTCCACATGATGAAAATGTCCCCAGGGAGATCTATTTGGATTTCCCCAACACAAATAATTAGGTATGGTTTCTATGATTGTCTCTAGAACAAGGGAAAAGGAAAGGAGAGATGGAGCAGAAAGAAGAGGAGGAACTGACTTTCAGATTGGGCAACTGAGCCAGGTGGAACTGAAAGTCACCAGAAGAGTCACACAGGAAATTTACATGGGATCACATGGCAAAGTCATTGATTTGCAAGGGGAACCGCCCCTCTAGCACAGAGACTCACCTGGAATTTAGTGGGCTTGAATCACAGACCCAACAAAGCCACTTCTAACAGGGAGATACAGCAAGCAAAACCATCAACACCCTTTCTTCCTCCTCCACTGCCATTTAAATATAAACTTCTAGGTCAGGCGCTCCCTGGTTTTTCCTGGATTGCAGACCATACCCAGCAAAGCAGGCACAAACCCAGAGAACCAAATCCGCAATTAAGCCATTGGGAGTTATGTGGAGAGGATTGCCAGGTAGAATAAACAGGCCCCAGGACTGGAACAGATGAGAGCGGAGGTTTAATTCCGTTGTGCCGGGGAAGATTGGCAAGCAAGTCCCAACTGAAGTAGATCATTGCAGTGGAGGTAAAATATTTCATAGGATATTTTCAGAGGGAAGTGCATGCAGGGGAAACCATTCCAAATTTTTTTTTAAAAAAATCTTTGCATTAACAAACTAGGTAGGAGCATGTGGGTAATTGATGCATATGCATGAGAGCATAATTAAGAACTATAAGACCTGGAAGATTTTCAAGCTCTATGGCAATTATAAACCATGAAAAAATACCCTTCCTTGGGGTTTAGGGCTATTATTCAAGCATCTCCTCTCATTATGATAGCTGGAACTTACATAGTACTGTGTAGAAATGGAATAAACAAACAGAGAGCTGTCATAAACTAATAATGATTCCTGGCTTTGTGCTTTTCTAAGACTCTTCTCACACATTATCTTATTTGATCTCTATATGTATCAGATTCCTATTGCTGCTACAACAAATTACCACATATTTAGAGGCTTAAAATAATATAATATTTTTCTCTTACAGTTCTAGAGGTCGGAAGTCCCAAATGAGTCTTACAGGGCAAAATCAAAAAGTCAGCAAGAGTGGTTCCTTCTGAAAGCTCCAAGGAAGAACCTATTTTTGCCTCATCCAACTTGCAGTCCTTTACTTTTGGCCCATTCCTCCATCTTCAAGGTCAACAATATAACATCTTCAAGTCTCTCTGTTTCTGTCGTCACCTCACCTTATGCCCCTCTAATCTGCCTCCCTCTTATAAGGACTCCTGTGATGACCCCAGACCCACCTGAGCAATCCAGGAGAATCCTCCCATCTCAACATTCTTAACTTAATCACATCTGCAAAGACATAGCCACAAGTTCCAGGGATTAGAACATGAACATCATTGGGGTCCATTGTTCAGTCTACAACACTACAGAAATCCTATGAAGTAGATGCCTAAATCCAGTTTTTCAGATGAAGAAACTAAGATTCAGCGGGCTTCTTGACTTGTGTCAAGAACCCTTGTGGCCTGTGTTGGGGTAATTTTATGCGTGTGCCCCTTTAATATTTACTGAGTGCTCTCTCTGTGGCAGACAATGCACTACACAGTGTAGAGGAAAGTCTACCTTGAGAAACTTCTATACTAGTGAAAAAAGTAAACCGTTATTTAAAAATTCACTTAGATATACACATACTTGTGTTGTAAAGGAAAGGAATGAGGTATTAGGAAAGAAAAATAAAAGAGCGGTCATTGTGTAAATTTAAGGGTAGGGAGGTTAGGGAAAGCCTCTTTAAAAAAGTGGTGTTTATGCCAAGACCTGCAGAAGCATAGGAGTAGACTGTCAAAAGGAAATGGAACAGCATTTGGTTCTGAGGGAACAGCAAGTGCAGATACCCCTAAGTGGGGAGGAATGTGCAACTTCAAGAAGAGCAGCATGGCTGGAGTATGGTGAGTAAATGTCATCTCTTCCTGGAAGCCTTCCTGGCCTGGGGTTGTGAGCTTTCCTTGGGTTTGCATGACACTCACTCCTTATCAGATCACTGCACTAATTCTAACTCCCTGGCTATGTGGGACTCCTTGACTACACTGTGAACCACAGAGAGCCAGGACGGGGTCTATTCATCCCTGAATGCCAGTCTTGCACAGTTCCTGGCATAGAGTAGGTGCTCAATAAATACTCATTGACTAAATGTGTGAATGAACAATATGCAGATCCCTCCTTCCATAAAACTCCCTGTGCTCAAGTGAGATCAGGCCACAACGTGACTGACACTTACAATTCTGCTGTGCAGAAAAAGCATTACTCCTTATTTTTCTCAACAACTGGTCTGATCTCCCTCCAAGCCTCCCCTCCTCTTCTCAATCCTGCCCTCCATCTGTTAGATAGTGTGGGGGAAAAGACAGTATTTAGTGAATCCAATTCAAATTTTAGTTTATCTATTAGCAGCCTCTTTACATAACTTCACACTCTTTGGTTTACTCAGTCTTTTAGATTTCTGACCCTTTCTCACCCAGGTGGAAGCCAGGAAAATGAAGGGGGCTTTTCAGCTTGTGATGCAGCATCCCCCAAAGCCCCTGCCCAATAAAAACTTTGAATTCTTCCATCTTTGAATGAAAGCTGTTTGGAGACAAGAACTGTGTCCTATCAGGTACTATGGATAGTAGAGAAAGTATGGAATGAATCTCCCATGTTTCCTATGTTATCAACATTATTATTAATTATGAGTAACAGACCACATCCCAAGAGAGTCAGCACCCTGGGACTAACTAGTAAAAAAGATAAAAATGGCTGGCGAAACAATTTTTCTTAATGTCGTTCCCCTTACCTGTAAAACAGGAGAGTAAATGCTGCCCTGTCCTACTGGGAAATATTCTTACTGGGTTCAGTTTACAAAATCACTGTGGAAAAAAAACATGTTGGGGAGGGAAGATTTAAAAATACAGAAAAGTAAGCACAACAACCCAGCCCCCTACCCCACTGCACCCCAATATGATTTATCCTCCCAACATTGTCATTTTACTATAGATCAAGATCCATCAGAGTCATATCCCAATGATTCCCCCCAGATTTCTAGAACTTTCATGTCTTCTGATAGTGCCTCCATCTCCAACACTGACTCTCAATCTTCCCAATTTTGCTACCTTAAGCAATATACTTTAATTTTCCCTGCCTCAGCTCCCCTACCTATGTCACTATTGTTAGCAGATAACTAAGTGAACCTGCCATGGCACAGGTCAGAGGGTAGTTGTTCAATGCACGTCAGTTACTTCCAGGTTGGGAAGCCTACCTCCTCTGCACTCAGGTCATGTTCCATGAATTCCTTCCTCCAGCCTCTGCTCTGGGCCTGGAAGTCCTTGCCATCTGAGACTTCTCCAGGAATCCTTCCCCTCTTCATAAGCCCAGGGCAAGTTTCTCTCCATAAGCCGTGTCAGTATTAATTCTTCAGCTCACACTAATATCTTCTTTGCTAAATGCTTACTGCATCCATTCTAAGCAGAACCACACATTTCAGGGCTTAATTCTCTTCCATTAGTTCCACATGCCTTGTTTCCTCAACTCGCTATAAAACTTGTGACGACTATGTCCTGGACATCTTAGTGCAGAGAAGCCTGAGGGAGCCTAATCCCCACTCGTTGACTGGCGGTACTGTGGATCCTTCTGTCCTGGGACCCACAAACTCAAACAACAGGCTCACAACATCAGAGTCCATCAGCCCTCAATCACATGGGCTCCAGCAGCAGTTGGAGGCCTCTCTCGAATGGAGAAGGTGGTGAGAAAGCTGATTTGCCCGTAAGTAAATAGCTGTTGTAATTATGGAAGATTATTCTCAACAGACCAGCAGACGGAAACCAATTTGCATAACAGACGCTGTTATTCATGGAAATGTTTGTGATTTGTCTACCAAAGCAGATGAAGACCCTAAATTAATGTGTGTATGCCAGCGCCAGTAAACCAAACACTCGCTTCTTTATCCTCTTCTCTACAACATACACACATTGCCCTCAGGTTGAATTCAGCACCTTCAGATCCACTTTCAGGGTTGGGGGAACCCCTGAAGAAAGCCCAAGTTCCAGGGAGCAGGGCAGGAGGAAGCACGCAGACTTGTACAAACTGCTAGGCATTTTCCATTGTGCTGGAAGCTCAAGGTTGCCACTGCCTTTCTGATGGAAATCTTTTAAGAGTCTGGTGAGTCCTGCAAACCTAAGACACATCTTAGAGCAGGATGGAACAAACCAGAAGTGACAGAAGTTGTCTGGTAAGTTCTGAAACACTAGTTTTCACATACATCAGAATCACTGAAAAAGCTTTCGGTGAAAACATGGATGTTCATATCTTGGCCCCAGAATTTCAGATTCAGTGCTGAATTAAGGTGCTTCCCTCCATTCCCAGGGGACAAGCTGTTCTAAAATGCAACCAACACAAAGTTATCTGTAAACCTGAGAAATATGACATGACGCAAAAGTGCAATGTGTTCAAATGAAAACAGTGATCTATGGATCCTGGAAGCTGATTGGACACAAAAAGGTGTCCAGGCATCTTACAACATGTAAATTTACCCAAATGCATGGAGTCAACTCTTTTAAACCAAGTACTCAATTAAGTTAAGAGCCTGGTTTTTAAGCAAACTGGCTCCTTCATAGACCACTTTCCTTAGGAATGGGCTTTAGTAGTGAGAGCTCTTATAAACAATTAAGAGACCAAGCTACAGTGAACAAATAGATAATCTCCAAATGAAACTTCTTAAATATAGGGTTTTAAGGGGGAGTTCACACTTGAATGGAAAGACCTAGGGTTATCTTTAAGGCTTTGTTTCTTCTAAAGATTAGCTCTTAAATGCCTATTAACAACATTTAATTGTTTGCTTACTTTAAAAAAAAAGTCTTTGTAAGGAGATGGAGGGAAAGGTTTCAGTTTCAAAATCCCAAACTCTTAAACTCAAAGGATGGCTCTGCTTAAGCCCCATATACACTTTCTATTGTTTCTGGCTTAAAGAATATTTAATGTAAGCCCCCATGGGCTCCTGGCAACATTAAGGGCAGCAGCTATTAGTTAAATAAACCAACACATGTGGTGCTTTAAGGGCAGGGCAGTCTTCTGGAAGCGCTTTGATCAGGCCTAATGGGAATCCACACTCCTGATAGGGATTAACTGTCTAAAAGGAAATCTTCGCAGGAGTAAATTCTGCTGTGGGAGTGACTGGGAGTGAGCCACCTGGAAGCAGCCATTCGAGAAATGCAATCAACATAAAATGATGTGTAAACCCGGACACAGTGGACTGCCATGAAAGGGCGATGTGTTAAAATGAAGAAGGTGATGTCATGACAAGCACAAGCAGATGGATGAAAGGAGCTGACAGCTGGTCACTATGGAGTCTTCGAAAGCAGAGCCCATTGTGCTTGTGGAGGGCTGGCCAGGGGAGGAAGGCTGTGTACATCTGGCAGCACAGATATTTCATCACTGTTCTGCAGGGGATCAGGCTTGTCTCACTCCTGGGTCCTTAACTCTGTTTAGCCATCTAACAATGTGTTTGCTTTTCCAGGTACCCAGGAATGGCCCTTCTTGGAGGGCAGACATAAATATCTGGTCATTTTAAAGGGGCATCCTTCATTGACGATTGATTGATACATTACAAGGACATGAACAGGACCAGTGGGGACCCAGTTTTCCAGAGGCTGGTCACTTCTGGGTGCCCTGCTCTGGACATCTGTGAACACCTGCGCCTTGAGCTGTGAAGTCCCCATCACAATATGGCCCCTCAGAGGCTCAATCAGATACTAGACTTCTTCTCTTCCCCACCTCCCCACTGTTTCTTAATAAGGGTGGGGTTATTTCTATACTCCCAATATGCTTTGTCTAAAAAAGCATCTGAGTGCATTTAACCTATTTTGTAGAAAGTTGCAAAGGCAAGAGGAGAGATGCTGAGCACATCCAAGAAATGACTGGAAATTGGCTACTGAGACCATTTGGCTGGGCAGGATGAGGATACAAATGTGAGATGGAGGGAAAACATTTCAAATATGAAACATGAGTGCAGTAAGCATCTGAGAATCCTGTTCTATGGCTGAGCTTTCTCCCCTGTATTATGAAGGTGGAGAGACTTAACTGATTTAGGAATAACTGGCCATGCCTAATTCCGTCTTCCTATCTCCTAGGAGGCAGCAGCCACAGAGAGCCCCTATTCTGCTCTGCCTCTCTGGGGGAATGCTCCTCCCTCTGCCCCAGGACCTCTTTCCAGGCTGGGCTGCATGGCTGATGGGGTTTGGAATTATCAAGCCCACATGCCCACTTGGTTAACAGACCTAATGCAATATCACTAACTTGGTTCTATCAGTAATAAAAATAGTATTTGAACTTTAGTTTTATTTCTCAACTTATTAAGTGTTCTTTACCACCACACACTCACAGGAAGAGATATGTGATTTATTGAGGACCCCAACAGGTTTTGTGGAAAAATCACACGGTTCGAAGCTAGGAGTCCCATGTTTGAGTTCTGACTCCATCACTTCCCAGTCTAGGAGCTTGGGCAAGTCATTTAGCTTAGCAGTTCTCCACAGGTGGTTTTTGGACCTGATATTCCAGGATCCTTTTGGGGGCCTGTGAGGTCAAAACCATTTTAGTAATAGTACTAAGCTGTTATTTTCCATTCTTGTTTGTTGGCATTTATGCTGAAGGTGTGCAAATCGAGGCAGTGGAACCACACCATACTAGTCATTGTGTTCTCTACCACCACTCACTTGCAGCAAAAAAAAAAAAAAAAAAGCCAATTTCATTTCAGAATGTCTTCAATGATGCAGTAAAAATGATTACTTTTATTAAATCTCAACCCCTGAATACATGTCTTTTCAATATTTTGTTGTGAGGAAATTACACATAAAGTGAGCAATTTTGTAACAGAGTGCCTCTGTTGAGAACCCTCCCAGGAACAGCTATCCTCAGCACCTAGGGGACAGATTTCCAGCAAGTTCTGCAGCATAGCACCACAGTGGCTTCCCTGCCATTCCATGAGCCACACCCCTGCCATCTGCAGTCAAGTCTGGATCAGCTCTAAGTAAAGGGCAGAGACCTCTTTCCTGGTCACTCTATCTCAGCTGTAGGGTAGTGGATGCCCCATATCTGCTATTGTATTGTTTAGTATCCCCCTTACATTTTACTATCTAATCCCTCAATTACTCCAATGCTCCGTGTAATTTTAAAGTCTTTATATTAAACTTCCTTGTTCAACTTCCTGTGTGGTTTCTCTCTTCTGACTGGACCAGGTTGGTAAGATGGTTTCCTCTACAAGGAGATCTACCATCTACCAATAAGATGGTTTCCTCTACAAGGAGCCTCCAGGCCGTCCCTGCCCTGTGTCCAGCAGTGCCCTGAATGTTCATTAAGATTCTGTGGTAGCAAAAAAGAGATTTTTAAAGCCCCTGACCAAGGGCCTGTTCTTGCATAGTGTGAACCTGGGTGGAGAACACCTTGTCTCATACACCGAAGACCCCATTTGCTTCTTGGGATGTATCTCTTGTGCCCATTTCTTCTCACAAGATGAATGGGGAAAAAAATGCCTTCCCAGCTGCGTGGGATAAAACCAAAGCTGAATAGTAGCTCTGAAATTGGCTAAGCTTCTTCTTTCTTCCCCTACTGCTCTCAGGTCCTTCCTGAGGTTGAATGGCTGGAGTGAGATAACTTGGCCGGCCTCGACACTGCAAGCTGCCCCTCTCCCCACCACACTCTCAACCTGGGCTTCATCTGGGTCTCTGATGGCATGAGGTGGGATGGTGCAGCCATGAGGATGGGGATTGATGGCAGACTTCATTGGAAAGAAACCTCCCAGGGCCTTCTGGGGTTCTAAGAAACCAGAGAAAGCCCAGGAAGAGTAGGTCATGAGGACCTGTCACTGCAACTAGAGTAGGTCACTTATTAATACATTCTCTGAACTTCTTCCCATTTCTACTTGGGCCAACATTTCTTTTGCTAAACTACCAGCTCGATTTCTCCAAAATGCCCTATGTCCTGTTACAACTACTTGTCTTACAACCACTTATTACTCTCCTGATGAGTTCTGGTGTAATGCTCTGTCCCTTTCCCATGCTGCTCCTCCTCTCTAGAGCATCCTCCTTTCCCTGGGTACGGCTAAGCTTTCAGGTCCAGCACCACATCCTCTGGGAACTCTTCCAGGACTCTGAGGTTGATCTGAGCACCCCAGGTGTATTCCTCACACCATGAACTGAGCAACCAGACTGCCGTCTCATTAAAGACAGGAACTGAATTTTCATCTCTATGCTAGGATCTAGCTCAGTGCCTCTGTGCCTATATTTTTTAAAGAAAAAAGTACACAAATAAAAAAATAAAGGACTACTTGTCTTATCTGTGCTTGAAGTTGTTCAATGCATGTCTGCTGTTACTGAAGGCTGGCTAAATGTCATTAATACTAATGAAGAAACCAAGGCACAAAATGTTTAGGCGACCTGCTTAAGTCACACAGCCAATAAGTGACTGAGGCTGGACTCTAACAGGTGGCTTCTCATGGATGACATTTGGAGGAGCTACAGGAGGGTGATGTTCTTGGAACATAGGTCAGGCTGGCCAGGAGGGCATGAGGGTCTGCCAGGTGGTTGCTAAAATTACTTCACTTTCTGTCCTTTTAGGACTAGGGAGGGAAATCCAGGGTCACTGGGAAGCTGTCCTTGGCATGTGGTCGTAGGCATTGCTCAGCGTTCTCTCTCAGGGATGGTCCACTGTGATGAGGGCTGGTGGGAAGGGGGACTAATAGGCCTTATCAGAGGAACCAGCAGGGACTCCCTCCCCCTGCACCCTCACACACCTATAGACACAACACTCACATCTCAGAAGCCAAGCCAGACAATTGGAAGTAAACAGCTCTACTGCCCTGAGCTCCAGCTCCCAGGTTCTGGCCCCAAGTGTCATGGGGGGAAGTGACCTTGCAATAATGGTATCCTCCATGTCTACTACCAACTAGCTGTTCTGGTGACCAAACAGATGGGCTCAGAGACCAAAGGGGCTGAGATCACATAGGTGATAGGTCAATTTAAAACATACAGCAAGAAGCAAGGGGAGAGGGACAGGGTGGGACAACACACTTAGAACATTGTAAGAGAGGACAGAAGGAAAACATATGTCACCCTGAGTCATGCCATGCTTACATGTCCTGAACTCCACCAGCACTTCCTGCTCATGGTGTGATTACAAATACCAGAGCTGAGGTCTGAGCAAGGGGCACAAAAGACAGATGGTGCCTGGGGCCCAATCCCATCAGAGAGACATGGGACAAGTACGACTGGCCACAGATGTAGCTTATCAATTTATCTGCTGAAAGCCATGGGTGTTTATCTGTATTTCTAGGGGCTCATGGCATTGCCAATGGGTGGCTCACTGAATATTGAGTGCCTCATGGGTCTCGCGTGTGGTTGATGTAACCTGAACACTTGGTGCTTCATGTACCTCATGTATATTTAGTGTGTGTCATGAATATTCAGTGCCCACTCAGCTCCTTCATCCCTTCCTATCTGTGCATACACACATACACATCACGTCCTTTATCTATGCCTAACATGGCTCACAAGCCATTTGCTTCTACTATTAGTTTCAATTATCCTCCTGATTTGTTTTTTTTTTTTTTATTTACTAGATCAGAATCCAACATTCCAAGCCCAGCCAGTGCACATTACACCAGGTCTGTTTACTAGAATAGTAACCCCCAATTCTGAACTCCACTTTGCAGTCTGCAAAGGTCTTTCACATTCACAATCTTATTTCATCTTTGCCACCGTCCCACGAGGCAGGAGTTAACATCCCAATTCAGAAGATGAGCACACTAAGGCTCAGAGGTTAAATGACTTTCCACAGGCCACAAGCACACATCCATTTGGTGGCAGAGAGGACGTGCATCCCAGTCCTCTCGCCCCTGGTCAAGTGTATTTCCAGTTTTACCAGCCCACCCCTGGGTTATTTTCACTCCCTTAAGGACCCCCAACTCTTCTGACTCCTGAGCCTTGTACAGTCTGATCTGAAGAAGCTATCACTTCTGGTACCCTGGGTATAAGACACACACACACACACACACACACACACACACACAGGCTCACACACACACACACATACATCCCAGAGAAAGGAGCTGCAGCAATAAGCAGGCCTGAGCAGCAATCTCACAGGGCCTATTCCAGTCAATGCCTGCAGACCTCACTGCATGGTCTTTATTCCACAATGGGAGTCCACAGGAGGCTTCCTTGCAGCTCAGTCCCTCCAGAAGCTTATCTGCTTAGGCAGAAGGGCAGCAGTTTGAGCAGAAGAGCATCTGCACCCTGAGAACACCATAGTCCTCTCAGCATTAAACCCCATGCTAAGGGCACTCTAACAATCTCTGAGTCCTCCCTTGTCAAGGAAGCCAAGGACCAGGGAAAGAATGTTCTGTATGAGTCAACCAGCAAAGCTGCAACCAAGGAACCCAAAGCCACTTGAAAGAGGAGTAAGCGTTTGTGCACCAGGCAGCCTTCCGCAGGGCCTGACGTGGGCCCACTTCTCCAACGGTGTGTGATACTAAGGGTGAAGGAGTGGAGGGGGCTGGCCTGGGGTCCCGCAGCCTGGGCCACCAGGGCTGCTTGTGTGTGTGCTGCTGCTGCTGCTGGCTGCACAGCTTCTGCAGAGCTGCCTCTTGCTGTTGCTGCCAATGACCCAAGGGGTCTCGATAGCTGGATGACAGGAACATCACACTTGGTGAGGCTCCCCCTCAGGTGAGACTTCATGTGAGGCTAGTGGAAGTCAAACTAAAAACAAGGATCACTTTAATTATTTCATCTGGCCAAGAGATCCCTTCTGGGAAATGATTCCTTTGTCCAAAAGTCCTCAAATAGATGTTTCCAAGCAGAGCTGAAGCTCGGATTTCAGGCACCAGAGGATGGTAGCGCCCGGTTTTCTCTGGTTCAGAAACCACTTGGCTTCTCCCCTATTGAAGAAAGGTCCTCCCAGACCATTGGAGAGTGGAGGTGGGACTCTCCTGTGCAGTTAACATGGCTGTGAAGGGTAACAGTGAACCACACATTGAAGCCCGGCATGATGCCAATCAGCTTATGTGTGTGGTGGCACGAGATCCTCACAGGGGCCTCTGGACCACAGAGTCAAACAGTGGCGACTCGCCAAAGGTAACTGACACAGCTGGACTTAGGCGGGCACCTTTGTAAAGGCCAGCCTGTGCTCTTGGCAAATTTGCTATCTCCAGGCAGATGCAGATTTAGAAGTTATACAGTCCAACCCCCTCTAATAGCACACAATTGCTTTTTAAAATAGATGAATTCAGAAGTTAGGGAACTTGTTGAAGCCTCCATGGATGGCTTTTAAGAACCAAAAATACCCAGACCCCTCGTCAAGGTGAGGCCTGCCCTTTCCAACACCCCACCCTACCTGTCTTGAGCTATGCGGCTTCTGGCATAATTTTCTTCTGCAAGTGGGAGAAACCATGCAAGCCCAGGCTTAAAATGGAAGATAAAGACAGGAGCCAGCATGGGGCTTAAATACCAGGCCTCTCCCGAGCCTGGGTCTGGCCCAGGACCACCCACCTCCCACCACTCACTCTGTGATTTGCGACCTGAAAGCAAAAGGTTCAGGAACTTGACCCAATGGTTGATCCTCCCAGGAGAAGGAATTCTGAATGGGTAAAAGAAAGTGATGCCCTAGTATCTTGAATTTCGGGATATGAAGAACGTGTTCAGAGGGCATCTGTGATGGTTTGAACTGCCTCTTCAGTCAGGACCTGCCATTTGGCATCAGAATGACTCTAAACTTTAGGCCACCAGAGAGGGACCCTTTAGTGAGAAGTCACATGTCTCTTTAGGCAAACCTTATATATTGATATTTTCAGTTAGCAACTTGAGTAGAGACTGACTTTTTAAATGACAGGATTCACCTGAATTACTTTAAAGTCATTCATTCATTAAATTGGTAAATATTAAACATGAGCTATGTGCTAAACCAGGTGCTGTGATGCCAGGATGTATGGGCTGGGTGCCGCTATATCCCTCAAGGAGATGCACTTCAGCTGAGCACTTAAGTAAATGAAAGAAATTTCAGAAACAAATGCAATATATAAAATAGAGTACAGTACATAAATTAAACACTAGTCAGAAAAAAGAGACAAGGAGAGACAAGTGAATCCATGTGAGGCTGAAGCTGGCCTTTTGGGCTGAGTCTGGCTGGCAAGGTATTCCATTAGCCAGGGTTTCCCAGAAGAGCTTGTGCTGAAACTGTCATCTGTGGTCCTGTAGCTGGAAGATGTCCTGGTGTGGGGATCGTGCACCACCTAGCGTTGACATAAGCCACTGCACATACCACAAAAGTGGGAAGGAAGGTGCCCTCCCCACAAAGAAGTCTGTGGAGTTCACCGTTTTTAAGTGCACTGCCAAATGCCATAAATGCTCACATATGTTACTTCATCTAGCCTGCATTAGAGCCCTATGAGGTCGATATTGTCATCACCATGTGACTGATGAAGCTGTAGAGATTCAAAAAGGTTAAGCTATTTGATCAAGGTCCCCTGAACTAAGGGCCAATGTAGGGAATTGAACCTCCCTCCCCCTGTACTCTGTTAACTTCCTAGCCTTTCTGGTGTAGAGGAAAGGATTGGGCATCTCATGACCAGGCTTAGACTTCTTGGATGATGGCTCAGCCTCTCAAGAAAGGACCCAGACTCCATGGCAGATCCTGCAGGGATCAGCCCTTGCCTGCCCCAGCAGCCTTGGTTTTCTTGCAACAGAGATAAGTTCTGGCTTCTCTGAATCTCTTGCTGTGTTCCAAGCACTCCATTTCATCCCTTGCTTTAGTGTCTTCTTTTTTTTTTTTTTTTCCATGTAGAGTGCCCTCTGTCTGGGACACCACTGTCCCTTTATTTTCCTACCTAGTGCCTCTTTCCCTTAAGATGGTTAAAGGGAAACCTGCCAGGAAGCCTCCCCTGGCCCTCTCAGGTTGTGCTAGATGCCTCTCCCGTGTTTCCACAGTACTGTGTGCATTCCCAGGTCACACTGCACCACAGACCACCTGTCAGTCATCTCTCACCCCCTCCAGGAGACTGTGAGCTCTGTGTCCCCAGTGCCTAGCAGATGCCTGACCCATTGCAGGAGCTTGATAAATGTCTTCAGGCGAATGAATGTTTGAATGGCTGGATAGATGGGCAGAAGGATGAGGTGAAAGCTTGCTGCCCAACTGGCCTCAGCATTCCAGGGTCTCATCAAGTGCCCTATGCTGGCCAGTCAAGTTCACCAGCAGAGCCAGCCAGGATAGAACCCCAGGGGGACAGGATTCACTTAAATTACTTACAAGTCTAGTGGAGAAAGGTTGCGCTCTAGACTGCATTCTTACCCTGCCTTCTCACTGTTAGTGTCAGTTCACTTCTAGGTCACAACCTAATTCCCAGCAGAGTTTCTGGAACAACTGCAGGTCAGTACTCAGTCTCTCGGGGTTGCTTGGTCTATGGTCCCGAAAACCCCTAGCTGGCAACCTGGAGCTCTGTTGAATAAACGGGCTGCTTCTGAGGTGAGAGGGAAGCAGAGGACAGAGCTTTAATAACGAGATGGCCACTTTCTCAGAGATCCCTGCCCCTGAGTCCCTGCATTGGAGACTGGAGTGGCCCTCCTGGTGCCCCACTTCAAGGAAGTAGTTTGATACATTCAGAAAGAGGATGTGGAAGAAGATGAGGAAAAGAGAAATAGAGCATAAAACCATGGGTGTTTCACTATGTCCTCTAAAAACCAAAATAAAAATAAGTAATAGTAGCTGTAGAAATTACTTGTTCTACCTCAGGGGAAAAATTGGAGCTTCATTCATTGGGTGCCTACAGCCTGCTGGCATTATCTAATCTTCACAATGACCCAGGAATGGAGGCATTTGGGCTCCATTTTACAAATGAATAAACTGAGGTCCAATGTCACACAGCTAGAGTGCATCTTCTCACCTCTCTTCTCTTTCATTTCTGTTGGATTTGGTAGCCTCTCTGTCCTCAGGACACTGGAGAAAAGATGGTAACCCAGGACCTGAGACCAGTGACCCCAAAGGACCATCTTTGCAGAGATCCTGAGAGCTTGATACACAGCCTGCTTCTCCATGATGCCCGCTTTTACCTACTCATCACCCACAACACTCATTTCCTCCTTTCCTTCATTATAAATCTAAATACATATACTTCATTGGGGAAACATCAGGTTCAAAATCCTGGAAGCCAAAATCATTTCTCTAACTCAATACAGCAATGGCAGGAAAACAGTGCTATTTACAGTCAGCCAGGAAGTGCCTTGCTCCAGGCCACATCTGCAATCTAGAAGGTTCTCTTTGGATAACTGAAGTTTTATACAAAACATGAAAGAAGAAACAAGACCAGGGATAAATAAATGGTAGGTATTTTCATCTCCTCTTGTTCAGGTAGAGTCCTGTTTTCCTGAGATTGTGACAGCCTGGAACAGGCCTCACTTTGATATGCTTTCCCTGCGTGGGCTGGACTTGACAACCCAACCTCTGGATTCCTTGACCTCACCCTCCTTGGCACTGGCAGGTGATTTCTCACTCCTCCTTGGCTGCACTTTCCACTTTTTCTTATTCATGGCAGACTTTCTGCTTTCGATATTCCAGAACTGCTGATGGTCAACTCTCAGCCCTTCAGCTGACTTCACCCTGGTGCTTGCCCAGTTTCTCCTGCCCCAGATCTCTATTTTCCCGCCCCTGCTTCCCCTGGAGTGACAGAAGATGGGGAAGCGTGGTGGGAGTGGGGAGATTGCTCTGCCCCCTGGTCTTCAGTACTCAGCTTTGGGGGTATAGGAGAGAATCTGGAGGAAGGGTGTCAGCAAAGACAGGTCATCTTTGAGTTGCCACAGTGCAGATACCTAGACTCAGGAGAGTGAGGCTAGCACCTGAGTGATGTAGGACCACTCAAACCACCCACTGAGAAGTCACCAGAGGGGCTCTCAGGCTTAATCAATGTGGAGATAGATCTATCTGCACCAACACAGCCAGCACACTATAGTCTAAATGTCATGAGTAGGATCATGGTGTCACCCTCCCATCACCCAAAAATATCTCCAAAACTGCCTTCAGGGGCCAAGGCAAAATTGGTTTATTAAAACAGCTATTTGCAATGGCAGATTTTAAAGACAAAGACACAAATAAGTCAATGGATATAAAAAACTGTAAAAGGCTGTAAATACATGATCATCATTTATAAAATCAACAACATCTCATGTATCTGGCACTTTATGGAAACCCATTTTACATTTTATCATTTGGAATAAATGAAGGGTTTTTTTTCCTAAATAAAATACTTTCCTACCCCATAAGCTACGCTTTCAAAGTGCTCCTTTCTTCTGGTACAGTACCCATCTGACAGGTGCTCAAATCTCCTTTAGTCCTCTGCCAATGGACACACTTTTATCTCTTCATTCAGCTTCCTTCCTGAGTCTGCTATGGAGTTGGAAATCAAACAGCCATGTTTGTTAGAATTGTTTGTAAATTAAGATTAAATAGAATACAGGTTGACTATCTCTTAACTAAAATGCTTGGGACCAGAAGTGTTTCAGATTTCAGGATATCTGCATTATAGACTTGTCAGTTGAACACCTCAAACCCAAAAATTCAAAATCCAAAATGCCCCTATTTCCTTTGAGTTTCATGTCTACTCTCAGAAATTTTAGATTTTGGAGTATTTCAGATTTGGGGTTTTCAGATTTGGGATGCTCAACCTGTAGTAATAAATGGCTCTGAGGTGCTAACTTATGAATAAATTGCATAGACTTTGGAAAAAGGCCATTGTTCTGGTTTTGCACCTGTATTCTTGGTTGAGAGGGATGACATAAACAAGGTGTTTCATGGTAGTTCAAAAAATCAGATATACCAACCACCCACTGATTGACTCTATAATTTAGCATGGGTTTGTTTTTGTCCTTTGAAGTAGATAGACAGAGAATTTCTGGACAGATTTGAAATGGATCTGATAGTCTATATATCAAGCAAATAGACACACCTGTCACAAGCAGGAAGCCCTTTGAGAACTCAGGTGTTTTAAATCTACTAGGTTGCCCCAGATCCAATCATACGGAGATATTGTCAGAAGAAGACTACCCCATGACCTCAGATGCCAGAGCCAGCCCACCCCACCTGGACTCTGCCAATTCTCTTACTGTCTGTGTTTCTGAAAGCCCACTATATCCCTGACCCCATCCCCAAACAGCTGAAACTTAGCCTATGTCTCTATCAATTTGCAGATGCTGGGACTAAATGTCTAAGGATATATCATTCCCATTTCAGACCTTAAAACCTAGATGATTACCCCACCATGTGAGAACATGTGGCATGTCTAAAGTCACTTGAGTTTGCAGCCACAGAGGCAGTGTTGTATGGAGGCTAACCACACCAGCTCTGGAGTCAGAATGCTTAGGCCATGTCAGGTAACATCTCCGCTTGTGACAAGGTTGTGGCCTCAGGGAAGGATGGCTAGCTTTTACAAATCTGATGTAATCTTTACTTCCTCCCTTCCCTTTCTGCATGCTGGCCATGCACGGGGAGGGCTGCAGAAGAGAAACCTTCCCAGCTGAGAAGGTGACGGCTAGTGAGGCTGTCCTGAAGATCAGTAAGTAGGGTGGGCATGGGTTGGTCTCAGCCAAAGGCTGCTCTTGGGCCACATGCAGAGTCTTCAGTGAGGGCAGGTGAGACTCAGCCTTCTCAGGAGTACAGTGCCATCATCATCCACTGGACATGTTGGGAAAGCAAATGATGGTCAGTTCAGACCCACGTCTCATCTGGGCCTCCCCATCCCACACTCCTGGGGAGCCATGGAGACAGAACATTAATGGATGGTTTAGCCAGAGGGAGCATATCATCCATTAGGAAGTATAAATCAACTTGAAATATAATCAACCTTGACTTCTCACGGTGCCTATGAATGATGACAGTCAAATACAGGCTGATTCTGTATTCAGTTCTCAATGAATTTTTTTCCCATGAATTCAATTTGGCATGCTTGTGCCAGCTCTGTGCAGGTGTGCAAACTGGCAGGGTAGCAGAAATCCATTAAAGCATATTCTACACGTTTACATTTATGGGGCCCTTGGTCTGACAGCTTTATGTGGGTTTGATGAACAACCCCTCTAACTCATATAGAGGGGACCTCTGGGGAAACCACTCCCCAGGCCAATCCCTCAGAATGATAAAGCTGAGAATAGTGAAGTTACCAATGGTGTCAGAGAAAGCCTCAGCGTGAAATCCAACAAGGTGGCTGCCATTCCCTGCAGACCTTGGGTGGTCCTGATCCTCACTGAGCCACAGATGGTCAGAGCTGGAGGCAATCTCAGAGACCATCTAGTTCCACTCATTTCACCTGTGGGGCAGCTGAGGCCCAGAGATTTAATGTAATTTGCCTAAGGCCCCACAGCTAATTACAAGAAGTGTTGTGGCTTCAACCCAGTTCTCAGACCCCAGTGCAGTTCTCTTCCTGTGATAGCTCTTTGCCCACTGGACCCTGCTCAGTTTTGGGCTGTCCTATTTCAGGTGCCACATTTGTGTTGTCCTATTCTCCTAGACCTGAGCCAGCCACTGTGGAAGGATTGCCTGGGATCAGGAGCGATGCCCCAGTACTCAAGTGTGGGGCTAAGCAGTCCAGGGATAGGCCCTGAAAATTCTGGCCATTGGCCCTCCAGTAGAATCCCACTTCACATCAAATCTTGGAGGGATTGAGGGGTGACACAGGCTGCAGGTCCCTACAGCTTGGAAAGCAATTCCATAAAATGGACATTTGAGATCAAGAAAAACATTCCAGCTTTGACTGAATCATTTCTAAGTGGCCATAGCAGAGGAAGGGTTGCAGAATAAAAGAGCAGAGGATTGAACTCCAGAGTCCAATGTCCTTGCAATGAACATTACCTAGCGCTACACCTGGCACCTAAGCAGCTGCTCAATAAATCAGTGCATTTTGAAGGATCAGGGAAGATAATCAGTTTCATACATAAATTTGTATTCTCCTAGGCATATCACTTCATTCATTCAACACATCCTGCTGTGTCTGCAAAGTGATATTAAAGAGGAGGAAATGGGCTTGGCCATTTGACTTGCTTTGGACAACAGAATGACTTGCAGGCGTGCCAGATTGGAGCCTTGGTTTCAGAGGCCTACTGTGTTTAAGCTTGCTTGCTTGTGTTTCTCCCATTTCCCTGGGAAGAACAAACCTAGGCAGAGTTTCCTCAGTTCAGGTACCCAGCAAAACCCTCAGCCAACCCACAGATACATGAGCAAGCCAGCTGAGATCCACTGACTCCCAGCCATGTGACTCGGAAGCTAAATAAGTGCTTGTCATACATATGCTGCTGAAGTTTTGTAAATTTGTCACATGGCATTATTGCAATCAGAGTTATTGGATACACCTTTCATATGTGCCTGGCACAAAGTGGGTGCTCAGAAAATATTTGATGGGTGAATGAATGAATGAATGAATGAGTGCAATGAATGTAGTGCTCAATTTCCAATTCAGCAGAATAAAGTGTCCCCAGAGCCCTTCTCCTTCACAAGAGCATGGTCCCGCAAGGGCCACCTCTACGTAAGATGACATGAGCCACCTCCTTGGGGCAAGTCTTACCTCTGGCTTCTGGAGGTATATCCCTTTGCCATCTTGGGTTAAGTTTTGGAAGACATCTGTGAAAATGCAGCAGAAAGGAATACAGCTAATGTGTCTATTGGAAACATTATGAATTAGTTCCTCCCATATGTCTCACCTTAACCACATCCATTCTGAAAACGTGAGGGAACCCAGTGTCAGCCTACATGTGACCACACGCAGCCACATCTATGATAAGTGAGCCACTTCAAGCCTTTGTCTCTGGAACAAGTCAGGAAAAGATGAGTTTGGATATCTGCAGCCAGGGTTCACAGGCACTTGGCTGGAGGTCCCCACAGCTTCCCTGGTCTGCTGTTTCTGGGATGGCGGCTGTCCTCCCTTGTGCTTAAACTAGGGACAGGTGGGAAGTCATGGGGCAGCAGAGGAAGACCTGGCCCTCCCCAGCTTCCCGCCAGCTTACCCTCCATGTTCTCTACACGCAGCATCAAGTGGATGAAACTGACAAAGTCCATCTGGAGGCGGGGGCCGCCGTAGCGGATGAGCATCAGCTGACAGACGTCATCACTGAGCATGATTCCTGCATTGAGCACAAGCTCCTGCTGTGGGTATTGGGGGCTTGCACCCAGCTCCCCTCCTGCTCAAGGCCCCTTCAAATGTCCCTCCAGTTTAGGGACCTGAATCCTGATAGCATGGAAATCTTCTTTTATAGGGTTCATTTTGAATGGTTTAATTGTTTAACCAATTTATTTTATTTAATCCCTACTCTTCACCCCTGTCTGTTAAGGCAACCAGCATGAGGCTGTTTTCATCAAGTATGTTACCAGCCTTCAATGAAGGAGGCAGTCTGCTAAGTGCTCAAAAGTACCTGCTTGGGAGCCCGGCAGTCCTGAATTTAAACCCCAGGCAATTGAGCTTCAATTTCTTCCTCTGTGAAGTGAGGATTATAACAAGGTGGTGTTGAAGATTAAATAAGAAGTTGAATGTGCCACCCCTCCATCAATGTTGGCTAGGATCACAGGGACAATCATAAAAAATGTTGGAGTTGACTGCAGATCTACGTCTTTGAGAGTAACACTGCGTATTAGAGTTACTTCAGCATGCCACACATCCCCTCTCCTCTGCCTGATGAGTGTGCACCCTGCCCGTGTGTGCCCACAGCTCCAGCTCTTCCTGTGCCTACCTGCCTCCCTCATGGCAGCGTGCAGCTGCTCCCAGTTCAGGTATCCTGACCCACGGTCTTGCTTGTGGAAAACCTTCTGCAAAGAACCAAATAAGAGGTTCAGGAAGCCAGGCATTTCCAAGCACCATCTGAGAGCCCTGTGTGCCCCTTGTCAGCACCGCAGAGGGGCTGTTGAAGATATCTGAGGCTCCACATGCAGGGCCTGTTGCCAGGATAAGAATATGGCAGAGTCCATGCTGGGATCCTACCGCCTCATGTTTCCTACAGAACAAGGCTTCTGAGAAACAAAAAAGTCTTTTTCTCATGGGGTATAGACAGTCTTGGTGTGGGTAAATGTGCTTAGTGCAAGCACATTATCCACACTTTAAAGTGATTCCAGCTTTCTGACTCAGGAGACAAGTGGGAGAGTTGTGAGTTGTGAGCAATGATTGGAAGAGCAAGAAGGAGCAAATTTATGAAAGACTTTAAATGCCAAGTGTGCCAAGGAGTTTGGACTTTCTCTGAAGCCCATGGGGAGTCTTAAAAAGCTTTTTGTGAGGAAACAGCATGATCAGATATGTGTTTTGGAACTTCAGGAGACTACTGCAACCAGCTCTCTGAGTTTGGAAGAGACCAATAGAGGAAATGCTCACCGAAGGGAGAATAGAGAAGGTTTGGTGAGGTGGATATAAAGGGCTGAAGGGGACAGAAGTATCTTCTACAGCTTTGCAGAACTGCCATTCCTACACCATCTTCCAAAGAGGTGTGGTTAAGACTTGTTCTTACCTGAGAGAGCTTCAGCTGCTTCCACAGGTCCCTGAATTCCTGGATGCTCATAGTACCTGATGCATTAAGCTGATTAATAGGTTAAGGTAAAAGCTTCCAGGGAGAGTTCTATCCATGCTTTGGAGGCAGTGATCAGCCCTCCACAAAGTGATGTGCAATTTGTGGATGGCCTCATTCAATGTCTGATCATGTCTGATTTCGCTAGTTCGCCTCACCTCACTGGCCAGTCCAGCCCAGGGCTCCCTCACTCTTGCTAGGAAAAAACAGAATGAGCCCAGAGCACAGCAGCACTGGGAGAAGCGATGATGATGGAGGTGATGATGGTGATGACCACAGCTAGCATTAAGGGAGGCAGAATTTTTTTAATGCTATGAAATGTTATCTTTGATTATTGTTAGTGGAGTACCAGTAGTATTAACAGATGGTGATATAATTTTAATATACTTGAAGTCTTTTACACCTAAACATAAACAAATTAAATATGACATATCCCATTGCCTCTTCCTTTCACGCCTACTTTTTTTTCTTCTTAACATCCTTTATTGAGTTCTATATATATATATATATATATATATATATATACTTTAAGTTCTAGGGTACATGTGCACAATGTGCAGGTTTGTTACATAGGTATACATGCCATGTTGGTTTGCTGCACCCATTAACTCGTCATTTACATTAGGTATTTCTCCTAATGTTATCTTTCCCCCTGCCCCCCACCCCCTGACAGGTCCCAGGGTGTGATGTTCCCCACACTTGTCCAGGTGTTCTCATTGTTCAGTTCCCACCTATAAGTGAGAACATGCAGTGTTTGGTTTTCTCTCCTTGCGATAGTTTGCTCAGAATAATGGTTTCAAGCTGCATCCATGTCCCTATAAAGGACATGAACTCATCTTTTTATATGGCTGCATAGTATTCCACGGTGTATATATGCCACATTTTCTGAATCCAGTCTATCATTGAGGGACATTTGGATTGGTTCCAAGCCTTTGCTATTGTGAATAGTGCCGCAGTAAACATACATGTGCATGTGTCTTTACAGAAGCATGATTTATAATCCTTTGGGTATATACCCAGTAATGGGATGACTGAGTCAAATGCTATTTCTAGTTCTTGAGGAACCACCACACTGTCTTCCACAATGGTTGAACTAGTTTACAGTCCCACCAACAGTGTAAAATTGTTCCTATTTATCCACATCCTCTCCAGCATCTATTGTTTCCTTACTTTTTAATGATCGCCATTCTAACTGGTGTGAGATGGTATCTCATTGTGGTTTTGATTAGCATTTCTCTGATGACCAGTGATGATGAGCATTTTTTCATGTGACTGTTGGCTGCATAAATGTCTTCTTTTGAGAAGTGTCTGTTCATATCAAGGCAGGATATTTTGACATGGCCAATTTGATGTGATTTAAATTTAAAAAATAGTAACCTTTTTTCATTATTATTTTAAAAACCAGCTTATGGAAGGAGTCAGGCACACAGTGGCTAATGATGCCTTTTACATTTTTTTAAGTTTAATGGTTGGCTTTGTAGACCATGCCCAGATACCCCTACCATCAGAGACATTGGGTCAAAGTACCACCACACCCCATCTCTATTTGAGCCCTCACCATGAATCCATCACTGAGTTACACACTTCACCTGTAGCAGGTGAGGTCGGCATTAACTCCCCATGTTCCAGGTGATGAAATGAGCGCTTGGAGAGGGTCTGATCTTGTTCAAGTTCATACAGCTGGTGACAGAGCTGGGACCTGCTCCATGCCCGTGCACCTAATCCTGCACTGTCTCTGAGTTTCTGCAGACTGTTTTTGTCTTTACAACCCCCCTTAGGCTATCTATTCAATATGCCTCTCAATAGTATGGATGATCAAACATTGATTACAATTATCCACTTAGAAAGGCAGTGTGTTTGTTAGAAAAATTGCAGGGCTGAGAAAGGACAGCTGAGTTTGTGGCATGTTGTTTAACTTCCCTGAGCACTGGTTTCCTGATCTGTGCATGGGGGCAGCCACCGCCCAGTTATTAAATGGAAAACATAGGGCCCCAAGGCTTTTGTAAAGGCTCTTGTAAACCTGGAGAGCTGTTACTAACCACCACCTTCTAGCTGCCTCATCCTCATTCCCAGGAAATGAGATTATTGTGATGGATGGCTAATATTGGTCACCTATTAGATGATAGCTCTGACCCCAGCATTTTACCTGTATTATCTCATTTGCATTCCCACGTTAATCCTACCAAGTAAGTTTCAACACTCTCTCCATGCTTCAGATGAGCATCTGGATACATAATGAGGCTCAGTGGCTTGTCCAGGATCCCACAATTAGCAAGGATTGGGGTTGGGATTCAAATATACTCTGCCTAGCTCCAGAGTGAAGCTCTCAACCAACAGCAAGCATCCACCCACAAACCTGAAAGGATACGTCCAGTAAGGCCAGGATCCCCTGGCAGGCTTCCAGGCTAAAGAAGGGCTGTCTGCTCCCCAGACCTGTGAAGGAGCGAAAGAGTCCACATGGGGGCTGGCCCCAGGTCTGCACACCCCTTTTCTGAGCAGGAAGAGGCAGTGCTGCATGGGCCAGCTGATGACCACCATGTATGTACGTGGGCTGGGAAGAGTGAGAATGGAAGACAGTAGAGAGACGGGGGGGTGACGGTCGTTCCTACCCATGGAGAAAGTCAAATGCTATAGGGGATGCCTGGTACGGCTTGGGTTTGCTTACACAGAGGGCCAAATGAACATGCCCTTTGTACCTAGGGAGGGCCAGGATCATAGAGTCAAACTCCCAAATCTCAAAGAGATCCAAGAGGTCAACTTGTTCAAGCTCCCAACCAAACTGGGGGATTCTTTCCTCAGGTTTCTTTCTCTTTTCTTTTTTTCTTTCTTTTTTTCTTTCTTTCTTTCTTTCTTTCTTTCTTTCTTTCTTTCTTTCTTTTTCTTTCTTTTTTTCTCTTTTTCTTTCTTTTCTTTCTCTCTCTCTCTCTTTCCTTTCTTTCTTTCTTTTTTTTATTTTTTTATTTTATTATTATACCTTAAGTTTTAGGGTACATGTGCACAATGTGCAGGTTAGTTACGTATGTATACATGTGCCATGCTGGTGTGCTGCACCCATTAACTCGTCATTTAGCATTAGGCATATCTCCTAATGCTATCCCTCCCCCCTCCCCCCACCCCACAACAGTCCCCAGAGTGTGATGTTCCCCTTCCTGTGTCCATGTGTTCTCGTTGTTCAATTCCCACCTATGAGTGAGAACATGTGGTGTTTGGTTTTTTGTCCTTGCGATAGTTTACTGAGAATGATGATTTCCAATTTCATCCATGTCCCTACAAAGGACATGAACTCATCCTTTTTTATGGCTGCATAGTATTCCATGGTGTATATGTGCCACATTTTCTTAATCCAGTCTATCATTGTTGGACATTTGGGTTGGTTCTAAGTCTTTGCTATTGTGAATAGTGCCGCAATAAACATACATGTGCATGTGTCTTTATAGCAGCATGATTTATAGTCCTTTGGGTATATAGCCAGTAATGGGATGGCTGGGTCAAATGGTATTTCTAGTTCTAGATCCCCGAGGATTCGCCACACTGACTTCCACATTGGCCTTTGACAAAATTCAACAACCTTTCATGCTAAAAACTCTCAATAAATTAGGTATTGATGGGACGTATCTCAAAATAATAAGAGCTATCTATGACAAACCCACAGCCAATATCATACTGAATGGGCAAAAACTGGAAGCATTCCCTTTGAAAACTGGCACAAGACAGGGATGCCCTCTCTCACCACTCCTATTCAACATAGTGTTGGAAGTTCTGGCCAGGGCAATCAGGCAGGAGAAGGAAATAAAGGGTATTCAATTGGGAAGAGAGGAAGTCAAATTGTCCCTGTTTGCAGATGACATGATTGTATATCTAGAAAACCCCATTCTCTCAGCCCAAAATCTCCTTAAGCTGATAAGCAACTTCAGCAAAGTCTCAGCATACAAAATCAATGTACAAAAATCACAAGCATTCTTATACACCAATAACAGACAAACAGAGAGCCAAATCATGAGTGAACTCCCATTCACAATTGCTTCAAAGAGAATAAAATACCTAGGAATCCAACTTACAAGGGACGTGAAGGACCTCTTCAAGGAGAACTACAAACCACTGCTCAATGAAATAAAAGAGGACACAAACAAATGGAAGAACATTCCATGCTCATGGGTTGGAAGAATCAATATCGTGAAAATGGCCATACTGCCTAAGGCAATTTATAGATTCAATGCCATCCCCATCAAGCTACCAATGACTTTCTTCACAGAATTGGAAAAAACTACTTTAAAGTTCACATGGAACCAAAAAAGAGCCCGCATCGCCAAGTCAATCCTAAGCCAAAAGAACAAAGCTGGAGGCATCACACTACCTGACTTCAAACTATACTACAAGGCTACAGTAACCAAAACAGCATGGTACTGGAACCAAAACAGAGATATAGATCAATGGAACAGAACAGAGCCCTCAGAAATAACGCCGCTTGTCTATAACTATCTGATCTTTGACAAACCTGACAAAAACAAACAATGGGGAAAGGATTTCCTATTTAATAAATGGTGCTGGGAAAACTGGCTAGCCATATGTAGAAAGCTGAAACTGGATCCCTTCCTTACACCTTATACAAAAATTAATTCAAGATGGATTAAAGACTTACATGTTAGACCTAAAACCATAAAAACCCTAGAAGAAAACCTAGGCAATACCATTCAGGACATAGGCATGGGCAAGGACTTCATGACTAAAACACCAAAAGCAATGGCAACAAAAGCCAAAATTGAAAAATGGGATCTAATTAAACTAAAGAGCTTCTGCACAGCAAAAGAAACTGCCATCAGAGTGAACAGGCAACCTACAAAATGGGAGAAAATTTTCGCAACCTACTCATCTGACAAAGGGCTAATATCCAGAATCTACAATGAACTCACACAAATTTACAAGAAAAAAACAAACAACCCCATCAAAAAGTGGGCAAAGGACATGAACAGACACTTCTCAAAAGAAGACATTTATGCAGCCAAAAAACACATGAAAAAATGCTCACCATCACTGGCCATCAGAGAAATGTAAATCAAAACCACAATGAGATATGATCTCACACCAGTTAGAATGGCAATCATTAAAAAGTCAGGAAACAACAGGTGCTGGAGAGGATGTGGAGAAATAGGAACATTTTTACACTGTTGGTGGGACTGTAAACTAGTCCTTTCTTTCTTTCTTTCCTTCTTCCCTTCTTCCCTCCTTTCCTTCCTTCCTTCTTCCCTCCCTCTCTCCCTCCCTCTCTCCTTCTTCCCTCCCTCCCTCCCTCTCTCTCTCTTTCTTTCTTTTCTTTCACTTTCTTTCTTTTTTTCTTTAGAGATGGAGTCTCATTCTATCACCCAGACTGGAGTGGCACAATCTTGGCTCACTGCAACCTCCACCTCCCAGGTTCAAGCAATTCTCCTGCCTCAGCCTCCTGAGTAGCTGGGATTACAGGAGCGCGCCACCACATCTGGCTAATTTTTCATATTTTTGGTAGAGACAGGGTTTCACCATGTTGGCCAGGCTGGTCTCAAACTCCTGACCTCAAGTAATCCACCCATCTGGGCCTCCCAAAGTGCTGGGATTACAGGAGTGAGCCACCGCGCCCGGCCCTCCTCAGGTTTCTTGATGGATGCTTTGTCAGTTACAGGTGCTCACTTTTTCACATGGGTGAAGAACTTCAGTCAGGAGAAACTTCTTTCATTAAGTCCAAAGGAACCTCCTATAATAGTGGCTCACGGTCCTAGTTTCACCTCCAGAAAAGCATAAAACGGTATTTGTCTCTTCTTTGACTTTTGCTTTCCCTTCTAAACATCTGAATATTTCTCAAACTACTCCTCACATGCGATGGTTTCTAAACCCTCAACACCCTTTTCTGAGCCCTACATTTTGCCAGTATCTCTTTGAAATATGGTGCCAAGATTTGAACACAGTCCTCCAGATGCAATTTGATTGAACAGAATACAGTAGACCTATCATTTCCAGTTTTCAGTCAACATTTCCCAAATTATGTCTCAAAGGAGATTTTCTGCAGAGAAAGAGGAGTTTTGTGGTCAAAGAAATGTGGGATACTTTGCGTCTATTGATGCTTTTCTTCATTTGCCATGCACTTTACCATATGTGAGGTACTAAAGACCCAAGTACAATCAACCACAGAAGCTAACCCCTTTTATTTCATGGAACACTTACTAAACCTCTTGGTTTCTAGCATTTCCTGGAACACAATTTTAAAAGCACACATCTAAATGCTCCCATTAAATGCAGCCTGAATTTGTACGAGCTTATTTAGCAGCAACTTGAAACAATTAGTTCATGTTAGCTAGAGGTCAACTAAATTAACCAAATATCTTTCACATAAACTGCCACAAAAATGAAGTCTCTTCTGTTAAGAACTTGTGCTACCATCTTAAAATGGTCTATATCAAAATGGCAGTGGTTTATTATCTTCCTGACTACATTTCATCTTTTTGGTTTGGGCACAGCTTGTTGAAAACATTCTGAATTTCAATTCTGCTATCTATTATATTAATGATTTCTCCCAGCTTTGTGCCATCTGCAGCTCCAATAAGCCTATATTCCATGTCTTCTTCCAAGACATTAATAAAAATTGGGGAAATGAACAGGACCAAGGGCAGACAGAATCTAAGAACTCTCATCTAAACATCTAAGCATATAGACTCTTGCCTGTAACTGGATAGAATTATCCCTCTAGTTTTATATTTGTATAACTCTTGGGAATGGTGATAAGATTTGTTGTAAATACATCTTCTATTATTATTTTCCAACCCACATTTTATCATTTATCATGGGAGACTCACCAAACATTTTGCCAAAATCTACAGTATTTCTCTGATTTATCCATCTAGAACCCTCTCATAGGACTAAATGAAAGCAATTTGTTCATAAATGCTTTGGAAAACCATTTTGTATATATGCAATCAAGACCTTTAAAAACTTTTAAATGTGCATGAGCCATTGCTTCTAGGTAATTTCCCTAGAATTAGCCTAGAATTCTTTTTCAGCCGGGAAGGGGAGTCTTACGTTCTACAATTCCTAGAGTCTTCCCTTCTGGCTGTTTTACTGATAACTGAATTTGGCTTTGAGAAGCCTTTTGCAAATTCTTTCAAACCCTGAATCACACAATAGCCTGGACTGTAATTTGTCTGGATTATAAATCTTGGCTTCATAGAAAGAAGAAGCAATCATCTAACTTTGGCAGCAAATACTCTGGTTGTTTTACTTTTTTTACTTTGAAGTTCATTCGTCTCCCTGAAGAAATCAGCCTATTTCTTCTGTGTTCTTCTCACTCCAAATATATGTATAAAATATTTTATATGGACTTTAAGCCTTTCTAATAATTTACCCCAGGCTTCATATGAAAGCCTCACGCTACTCATTTGCAATTCTTCTAGGTGGTGTGCTCTCTCCTTCCAGAGTTTTGTTGCTTGATCAATTTAACATGAGTTCATCAGACAGTTCCCTGGGTAGGCTAGTTAATACTTAATATTCATATCCCAGGTTGAGGAAATGGGTGCAGTTCTTCCACATGGAATTGATATGCCAAGAAAGAGGTACTCAGTTATTCCTTTCTGACTAGCAAAATGGCAGGAATCTTCATTTTCACTGCCATGTATGTCTATACCCAAAGTAAGCAAAATAATAATAACGATTTTCAAAGTTGTATAAATTTCCCTACTGCTTTTTCAGATCACATAATCCACCTTGTGTAAAATATAGCCAGAGTTGAGACCAGTGCTCAGTAATTCACACATCCCACCAAGGGAAAGAGAAACAAAGCCAGAGTTTAGAAAAGTTGCATCCCCTCTGAGTCCTACAGAATGGCTCTAAAACACTTACTTGACCAGGTCATCTGGTTCAGGAGGTTCTGAAGTTGAACTGCATTAATCTCTGGATGCTAAATAGAAAGCAGATTGGCAAGAAAAAATAACTGTTACTGAAGGCTCATTAGATGGCAGAGGGGTCATATGACTGGCCATGAAATTAAACTGGGATTTCCTAAGAACTTCACAATGCTTTTTAACTGGGTGCCAACCCCAGAGAACCCTGGCAGGGCATGACTTTCAAGAACAGTGATTCTCGAAGGTGCTATCCAGGTGCTGCTGAAGTTTAGCCAACAATTTGGTTTGAATTTCATTCTCAATAAAATGTCATCAGTCAAAACTCCAGATTTTAATCTTAGAGTTTATTAAAAGAAACTCTTTATATGAACATTTGATTTTAAAATATATCAGTGAAATATAAGTATCAAACATCTGAATTTTTAAAACTGAGGCATATTCATAACAT